>NC_000006.12:8847878-8999393 GCF_000001405.40 Homo sapiens
AAATCTTTCCTCCTATCTCTGTTTTAAGGTTTCATTACTCTGCTCTAAGATTTGCTACTATTATCCATTTAAAAATAGACTATCCTAATTACTAAATAAGATGTTTTCTGACCTTCGATGTTTGTTTTCATGAGAACATTGACCAAACATGACCCAGCACTCTTAAGTAGACCAGAGTATGTGAATTCCTGAGGCATCACACAAATTCTCAGCTGTGTGAATGCACTTAAATTCCCAAAGACTAATGGGGATTCAATAATGAACATACATATTGTTCTAAATTGTTATTCTCATAACCAGGCCCTTCCACTGCTCTCCCCTGTGTTGCTACAGCTCATTTCTAAACTTCTAGTGCTCTCTGTATTTTTCTTTGTCTTTCTCATTAAGCATGAAGTGATCAGTTCAATGCTTGGTATATAATAGGTGCTTAATAAAAACACCATGAAATAAATTGAAAGAAGAATGACGGTAGTGATAGCTGTAAGGCTGCATTTAAATCTACAGAACGTTTCAAAATCAGAGTATGCCCAAGATCCACCTGTTTTTGGAGTTGTGAAATTTGAAATTCTCTCTATAAGGAAATTTGATGATTCAATGAAAAGGAAGGCTATTGTTGATGGGGCCAACATACATATGTTAGATAGCTATCCATACACATGATACATGTGTCAGGCTTCCACAAGTAGAAAATCATCAAAGGGTTTTTGTAAGATTTTTAGGAAAATAAACTATTGGGATATATTTTCCTAAACGTATGTTCAGTTAAAAAATACTACATTTGACCTTCCTAATCTATTATAGTCACTGCCAAAATATAATTTGTTTTGATTTTATACAGGTTTTTCCATAAGTAAGATAATTAAGGATTCTGCGTTTTCAATTTCAGAGAAATTTGAGTTAAGCATTTTATGAGACCATGTGGGTACAGTTTGAATCTACTAAAGAAGGAAATTGAGCATTAAGCATAGCACCTTGCTCTTGCTCCACCGTACCTTCTAAGGGCTCGCATGCAGAGAATACCTGTGATCCAGTGCCAGCTTTCATCACCGCTTTGCATAGCCAGCTTACATTAACTTGAAAGAGAGTTCCAGGTGCATTCAAGTTCTGCTGAAGAAATGGAAATTTGGAAGCTCTATTATTAGCTTAGGCCATTTTCAAATCACATGAGTAACAGACGGAGTAATGTCATTCGAATTTATTTTTTCTCCCTTTTTATCACTACTGTTTTTAGGACAGATGGAAAACTGAACCGGCACCTAAGTGTGTATAGAAATAGGTATAAGGATTGTTTCTGTGTGGCAAAACAATATGGACTTTCATTTCTTCACCAACACAGACCTCAATAGGATTTTTAAAATAAATGTTAACATAGGTGTAAAAGTTTAGCTATTTGGCTCCCAGGAAACAGGAGTCCTTTGGGATTAAGGAGTAGAAAACCATCCTAACAAGTAAAATAGAGAACTTATTGGAATTATATAGGGATAGCTCACAGAGCCTGAGGATCAAAAGCAGAGCCAGGTAGAAGCTGGCATCTCTGCTTTCTTTCTTGGTGTATATTCGACCCCCTTTTCTTTCTCCACTAAGGACTTGTTTTCTCTGATATGTTCATACACAACATTAATATGGCTGACATGGCACCAATTTTACTAGGCTTCTTAGTTCAATGGAGCAGAAAGACCCCCTAGTATTTCTGTCTCCAAACCAACCTTACATCATAACCCAGTGTAATGCCTACATGACCTAGGTGAATTTTTACACCACCTTAACTTTGCTTATCTCTAGGAAACAGGATGCCTGAGTCAAAATATCCCCCTGTGACCAAACTGGCTAAGGCCGGTGGGATACAATGACAGCTCACATGACCTTGGAAGAACCTGTAACTTCCTTATAATCTAATTTCTATGCTAAATGACGCTCCCACCAATGCCATGACAATTGACAATCACCATGACAATGACCAGAAGAAACTGCCAAAGGACAAAAATTCTAATTTTGAGAGGTTCTCCACCCATTCCCAGAAAAGACATGAACATTTCCCCCCTTGCTTTTAGTGCCCAACCCCTTCATTAAAGATGTCCTATATCTGTGGCTTCCCAGCTCTACTGAGTTGAGAAGTTGATTTGTGAGCCAGCTCTTGCTTCTCAGTTCCATGGCCATTGAATAAAGCCGGCGATATTTGACTCTCACTTTCATTTTTATGTATTGGCTTTGTGGCACTGAACAGGTAAAGACCCCATTTTTGGGGAGACCAGCTTCTTCAGTAATAGTATCTCTGGGCAATATGACTTTATTGGTCTAGCTCAAGGTTCAGATGAAGTATTCAACATTTGTCAAAGAAGGGCTGAGCAGGGCCGTGTGGTACAATTAGAGCAGCAAGAGCTCTTTCTTTTCTTTCTTTCTTTTTTTATTTTTTGAGATGGAGTTTCACTCTTGTTATCCAGGCTGGAGTGCAGTGGCATGATCTTGGCTCATTGCAACCTTTGCCTCCCGGGTTCAAGTGATTCTCTTGCCTCAGCCTCCCAGGTAGATGGGATTACAGGCACGTGCCACTATGTCCAGCTAATTTTTGTATTTTTAGTAGAGATGGGGTTTCACCATGTTGACCAGGCTGGTCTCTAACTCCTGACCTCAGATGATCCACCCGCCTTGGCCTCCCAAAGTGCTGAGATTACAGGTGTGAGCCACTGCACCTGGCCGAGCTTTTTCTTTTAAACATTGTGGATGCCTATTCCACAAGGCAACCAGTGCCATCAAGTAAATTGCTCGTTGCCTAATCAGGAATGCTGTAAGTATGAACTGAGGTCCACCAGGGTACTCAGAAGATGTCCCTCACTCCTCATTCAGGCCTTTCTTTGTCTCTTCTCTTTTCTGTGTTTCAGTATTCCTGTGTGCTGATGTCTTCGTGTTTCCAACTGTCCTTCAAATTTTGCTCTTAACTTCTCTCCCTTTTCTTTGTCAAGGGAAATAGTGCTATGATAGATCAGTGATTCTCATACTTGAGCCTACATCAGAACCCCCTGGAGAACCCGTGAAAACACAGATTGCTGGGCCAACCCCCAGAGTATCCAACTAGGTAGGTCTGGAGCAGGACCCGAGAAATGCCATTTCTAACATATTCTCAGGTATCATGGACTGAGTTTCTACCCTTCTCCCCCAATTTATATGCTGAAGCCGTAACACACTATATTTGGAGATAGGATCTTTGAAGAGATAATTAAAGTTAAATGAGGTCATGAGGGTAGGCTTTAATCTAATATGACTGTGTCCTTATAAAAAGAGGAGATGAGGACACAGGGAAAAGACGCCTATCTGCAAGCCAAGAAGAGAGGCCTCAGGAGGCCTGCTGACACCTTGATCTTAGACATTTTAGCCTTTATAACTGTGAGAAGTACATTTCTGTTTTTTAAGGCACTCAGTTCATGGTATTTTGTTATGGCAGTCCTGGGAGCTAATACACCGGGTGATGCTGATGCTGCCGCTGGTCTGGGGACCAAACATTTAGAACCATTGGGTTAGAGGGTGGAGTACAGTTACTGCAATTTAATCTCATCATCAAATCATTAAGGTTTTACCCCACTTGTGTCCTAATTCTCAGGTTTATCATCGACAACTTTGGGTTACAAAACTATTGTAATATAATCAATCTACCAGCAGGGATAAGACATGTTTCCAATCTTCAAGCAATCCAGCTAGAATAGTAGGGGAATAGATGTCTTTAGCTGATGGGGCTATTTCTTTTATTGTGTTGGGCAAATCAGTTCTTTTGATCTGTAAGCAAGAATGATAACTATCATATTTACATATTTACTTCATAGAGCTGTGCTGAGGATTCAAGAAGGTGATATGTACACACATTTCAGAGTGTTATGAAATATTAGCTATTACAATTTGTTTTGAATGTGTTTGGAACATCCAGTTCTTAGAGTATGGGCTCTATGAATCTTCCCTGCCATGAACAGTCCATCTTCCTGCCTCTCTGGTTCTTCTACCTGAGGGAAACTCCTAATAACTCATTAGTATTTTCCAGAGTTGCTGCAGCCCTGGACTGTTACTATATCCCCCTCTATCCATCTCTCTAGCCTACTGAAGCTTTGATCTTCCTTGAGTTGTTAAATTTATTTGCTATATGCTTATCTTATCTCTTTTCTGGACTACTGCTCTGCATTTTTCTTCTTTGAGCCCTGTTCAATGGCAGTGACAGCAATCTTTTTGTAATACAAATGGGATCATTTTTCTCCTTTGCTCAGTCTTTCAATAGTTTTCCACTGCTCTCAGGCCTACAAGGTCGTGCACAATTTAGGTCTTGCCTATTTCTCCCAACTCATTCTATACCACCCTTCCAGAATCTTCATGACCCATGTGAGCTTCCTTTCTGTTTCTGGAAGCCAAGCAACCCTTTCCTAACTCAGCAGTTTCTCAGCCTGGAACATTCTTCATCAGGCTTTTGCCATGGCTGATTCATTCTCTACCTTTGGGACTCAGTTCAGCTGTCACTTCCTCAGATGCTTCTTCTGTCATACAGTGTTCATTTTGTTCATAGCCTCATATCATCTGTTTTTATTTGTTTTCTCTGTTTACTTATTTACTTTCCAGCTCCCCTGCTAAACCATGAGCTCCCACGAGAATGGCTATCTGCTTAGCGAGCTCTGTCCCTAGTGTGTGGCAACCACTATGTCCACGTGCAAAATGAATGAAAACATTAGTATTGCTTCCAGGAAGTAACATCTAGATAGCCATCTGGATTATCTCCTTGCTTCTGCTGTATTTTTTCTTTTGTTTAGGAAAACCAGAGCAGTATGTTAAGGCTCATCTTTTTTTTTGTATTGCTTTTAATGTACTGCTTTTGTCTGAAGACCCTCCTGAATTCTCTTTCTCTCTTAACTGACCTGTCAAACCGAACCTCCCACAGATTTTTGGTCTGTGAGGATCAGGGTTAAGCACTGACTTTGAGGTTAATAACTCTTTGACCTCGGGCTGGCCATACAACTTCTGTAAGCCTTAGTTTCTTTCTCCATGAGAGTAAAGACTCTTAGGATATAGTGAGGTTTGAATGAGGGTGACAGATGCAGTCCTTAGCATGCTGCTGCCAAACATGGAGTAAGGGCTCAATGGATATTGGCTACACACTCAGCCTCACATCTGCTCATCACTGTGTCTTCTTACCATTAAGGTGTCCTGTGCACTGTTCCCCTGACGCTCCTCATTCACATCTTTGCTGTTGCATGGGACCATGTCGTTCTTCCCAAGGTAGAAAAAGTTCTCTGTGTTTTTCTAAATTCTACCCATCCCTGATCACCTAGTTTAAAATTCTATCTCCAATCAGAAGCCCAGCCTGGGTCCACAGCAGTTCACCCTGCTAACTAAAGGCCAGTAACTATGTTTGTCAATGAAAAAAGCAGAAAGAGCTTTAAGAGCCACTGATTTTTTACCTTGTTCTAGGCTGAATGTGAGAAGGTACTTCCATTCGTTGCCTTGTATTGCCTCAGTTAATCTTCACAGTAATCCTATCTTATAGAGGCCATTCTCCCCAGTTTCCAAATGAGAAAATTGCGGCATAGGAGAAGAAGTAATGAGACCTAGCAGGTTTTCTATCCCAGGTTTCTCCAATAGTTACAAGGAAATTCATTGCCTACTTGTAAAGTTATTCTGATTTAAAACAATCCAGCAACCAAAAATCTAGTTTAGTAGAGAGCCAAAAAGGTCATGACCAATTGCTCAGAAACAGAGAAAAGTCTGGACACAGGTTAGGTCATCAGATAGGATACATGCACACACACACACACACACACACACACACACACACACACACACACACACACACAGAGAGAGAGAGAGAGAGAGAGAGAGAGAGAGAGAGAGATGAGTGTCTTGATTATAGATGAAGCTAATAAAAAATGAGGACAAGAAGCTGAAGTTAGATTTCTAAGCCGAAGTCAGGACAAAAGCAATGCCAGAGCTATGAAGAAGCATGAGGGCTCCAGCTCCCATGGGACAGGGCAACCTCCGCCTCCCGGGTTCAAGCTATTCTCCTGCCTCAGCCTCCTGAGTGGCTGAGATTACAAGCATGCACCACCACGCCCGGCTAATTTTGTATTTTTAGTAGAAATGGGGTTTCTCCATGTTGATCAGGCTGAGTCTTTAAAATTTAGAGCTGGATGGGAATATTAGAAAATAATACAATAACTTAAAAGTAAACCCCACCCCACCATTTTATAAAGTTGAAAATCTGATACGCAGAAGTGTTTCCAAATTCATTACGCTATTTCATAGCAAAGTGGAGGCTAGTGCATGGGTTCTTTGACTTCTGGTCCAATATGCCTTCCTTCTCAAGGCTGGTTCCCAGCACTGGCCCCAGGGACACATGAGCAGGAAAGCCAAGGATGGAGGAGTGACCAAACAGGATGATAAGAGTAGGGAAAACAATGAGAGGAACAGAGGAGCCCTGGGAGTTGGAGGAAGGAGAGGTGGAAAGGCAAATTGGGGCTGAGATGAAGGGGAGCACTGGAACAGACAGTGGGTGCTGACCTCAAAATGACTTCTTAAAACACCATCCTTGAATTATATCAGTGGCTGTCATCCCTGGATGCCCTTTACAACCATCTGGGGAAATTATATAAAAATGCCAACAGAGCAAGACTCCATCTCAAAAAAAACAAAACAAAAAAAACGCCAATTTCTGGATCCAACAGCAGACAGAGGGACTAACTGACTCGTTTCTGGATTGTGGTCCAGTTGTTATAGTTTGAAAGTTCCCCATGTGATTCTAATGGAAAGACAGTAGAAACCTTTGGGTTACAAGGAAGACTAGTCTAGTGGTTCTCAAAGACTGGTCCTTGGACCAATTGCATTTGTATCACCAATTTGTTAGAAATGCAAAGTCCTGCCTCATTCCAGGCCTATCGAATACAGAACCTTTAGGAGTGGGACCCAGGAGCTCTGTTAACAAGGCCTCCAGGTGATTTGGAACACAGGTAAGTTTGGACACCAATGCTTAAGCTGATGGCCATGGTGTTTAATTAAGTTGTTAATATATTAATGCATTTTCCATCTAATAAAGGTTAGGGCATTCTTCTTCTTTGCATTCTAAAATTTTATAAAATTCTTCATTAAAACATCATAGATAAGACCCAATCTGCAGGGATAAGACACACACCAACTTCCTTAAATTGCATTCAACTTACCACTGGCATCATTATAATAGAATGACTAGTCACTAGATAATAAAATATTAAATATCAGAAGGAAAATCTATGTTATATGCAATTAAAAGTAAATTTTTTTTTTTTGAGACAAAGTTTTGCTCTTGTTGCCCAGGCTGGAGTGCAATGGTGCCATCTCAGCTCACTGCAACACCTCCCCGTCCCGGGTTCAAGTGATTCTCCTGCCTCAGCCTCCTGAGTAGCTGGGATTTCAGGCATGCACCACCACGCCTGGCTAATTTTGTATTTTTAGTAGAGATGGGGTTTCACCATGTTGGTCAGGCTGGTCTTGAACTCCATGACCTCAAGTGATCCGCCTGCCTCAGCCTCCCAAAGTGCTGGAATTACAGGCATGAGCCACCACACTCAGCCAAAAGTAAACTATTTTATCTGTAGAATGCCTCCCTAAAATATTTTATCTTCTGTTATCAGTTGTAGATGTGTGTGGCTTTTTCACTCCCCGTTAAACAAAGAGGTTGTAAGGCAACCACAGCTGCTCCTGTATGTGAGATCCGCACACTGTTACTTAAGCCCCGTACCTTGTGGGCTCGCAATACATATTAACTTGATTACATAACTTGCATCTGTTTTGGTTTCTCTAGAAACCAGGAACCTTCAGTTACTCCAGCATGAAGGAATCAACTGCTATAGAGACCACATTCCCTGGAGTTTTATAAACTATGCTGGTCATCAGATCACTTTTAGACATCATGTAAGGTATTGATTTTGGTCACCTCATGGTGGTTTTTTTTTTTTTAATTTTTTTATTTTCCAGTTCTTAAGAAAAGTTCTTAAAAATGTAAATAGCTAATACTTGGGAAATTTTAATGTAAACTTCAGTCTCTTTGAAGTGAGTTGAGCACATATTAATTGTCATTTTATTTCAATATCTTTTGGCAGTGTTGTTTTCACGTATAACCAACCAATGACTTTCATGATAGTCACAAACAAAAACAGAATAGTGCTTTCCCCAAATGGAAATGTTTTATGGTTCTGTCTTCTAGTTCCCTGAGACAGACACATCTGAAGTGAGTAAAGAGTGTAATCAAAATTATATTCTTAAAAAGTTCTCTCTTGTTTTAGGTTCCTTAGTGAATACTCTCTCTCTCTCTCTCTCAATGGTTTCTAATGGTGAATTTCTTTTAAGAAAAGTTTATCTCTGTATTCTACTCCCTTTTCACCCACTAAAACACTTAGATTTATTTTCTTTTAGTGTACACATAAAATATTGCTTTTTAATTTGACACTCCACTGAGTTAAGAGTGGCAATTCTCCTAAATTATTTTCTTTTTCTTTTTTTTATTTTTATTTTTCAGACAGGGTCTCACTCTGTTGCCCAGGTTGGAGTGCAATGACATGATCATGGTTCACCGCAGCCTGGCTCACTACTGCTTCACCTCCTGGGCTCAAATGATCCTCTCACCTAAGCCTCCTGAGGAGCTGGGACTACAGGCACACACCACCACACCCAGATAATATATTTTTAAAATTTATTATTGGGACGGGGTCATCCTATGTTGCCCAAGTTAGTCTCAAACTCTTGAGCTCAAGTGATCCTCCCACCTTGGCCTCCAAGGGTGCTGGGATTGCAGGCCCAAGCCATGACATCTGGCCATTTCTAAATTCTTAATGTGGAATATTTACATTTTATCGTTGGAAAGACAGCCTTCAAAGATTAATACTTATTAAATAATAGAATGTTCTTAGCAAACAAACAGTTAATTTTTAAAATGAAAAGTCAAGATGAAAGAAAAATATTTCACAGAATGTTAATGAAGTGTGGGATAAATTTAGTATCTTCATATATTAACATAAGAAGTAATAAAATGCAATCACAAAAATAGCCCTGGAATTGAATTGCATGTTGGGAGTGATGGTTTGATGGCAACTCGGAATACAAAATGAGCAGATTGAAGAGGTTCTAATGTATTCAGGGCCAGAGAAATTATTCTTTAAACTTTTCTTCCTCTTAGCTGTCTCCATTAATGTTCATGGTCAGGTTGGCCTTTCGGATAAAAGTGAGATGATGAACATCAAAATGCACAGAACCCTATGGGACCACATGGTGGTTACTCAATACATGTTTCTGAATCTGATTCTGATAAATATAAGTCTAGTCTTTGAAAAATTAACTATCAGGGAAAGAAAGGGTCAGTAAGTTTTCTCTATGGTGAGCCCATCTTTTCCTTATTTACTTATTATGTATTAAACAGCTCCTAGGTGACAGGGCCTGTGCTAAGTGCTCAGTTCCTACCCTTAATTAAAGACAGGCATGCAAGGCTATAATTGTACCCACATTCCTCTTGAGGTCACACCAGAGCTCTCTCCAGTGGGAAGAACTTTAAATAGCCAATCTCTAATAAGCACAAGGGAGCCACATCATAGGAAAAAATGTGAAAAGACAATGGCATTTTCCACTTCTTTACACCACCAACAAGGGGAAATGGCTGAGCAGTGCGTCTTCCTCAAGAAAACGTTCCTTCAACTTTGATATCACTGTCAATTGAAAAATATGACCATAGATTTCTTCCACTCTAGAATCCACTCCCTTTTGTCATATGTCTTTGCTGCTTCATTCAGTGGTGAGGTTGCTGTCCCACTTCTTGAATCTGGGATGGCTTTCTGATGGCTTTGGCAGATAGAATATGACAGAAGTGGGGACGAGGGTTCATGCCTATAACACCAGCACTTTGGGAGGCTGGGGGAGGGGGGAGGATCACTTGAGGTCAGGAGTTCAAGACCAGCCTGGCCAACATGGTGAAACCCCATCTCTTCTAAAAATACAAAAATTAGCTGGGTGTGGTGGCTCAAGCCTGTAATCCCAGCTACTCGTGAGGCTGAGGCAGAAGAATTGTTTGAATGCGGAAGGCAGAGGTTTCAGTGAGCCAAAATCACGCCATTGCACTCCAGCCTGGGCAACAGGAGCAAAATTCTGTCTCAAAAAAAAAAAAAAAAAAAAGACAGAAGTGTCATGGTACAACTTCCATGTCCAGACCCGAGACTTAGAATGAACTTAGAAAGTCTGTGGCTTTCAACTCTTTAATCTCTTAGGATGCCACTCTGAATGCCACCATGTAAGGAAGCCTGTCCAGTCTATCAGGGGAAAAGGCGCCACGTGGATAGAAATCAAACCAAAATGCCACAGCCAAAGGCTGGCACCAAGGCCAGGCATGTGACCAAGGCATCTTAAACCTCCCAGCCTCAAGCTACTGTACGTAGCCACATGAGTGAGCACAAGCAGAATCAGCAAAGGGACACTCCAGCAAACCCACAGAATGGTGAGAAAAAATAAATGATGGTTGTTGTAAGCCACCACGTTTCAGAGTGGTTTGTTACAAAAGCCGTAGTTAACCGCTACTAATATCCTCACACTTACTTAAAGCTGTCACTCTGAAATCAATCTAGGCTGGCACAAAACCTCACATCTTTAGGATCCTAGTTGGCGATGACCATTTTGGTAAGAAAAATGGCCAAGAATCAAAGCTGGATGGTGTGTGTGTGTGTGTGCGAGCACACAGGCATCACACGCATGCACTTGGACATACATGTGACAGTGGGTGACTATGCTGAAATTTGGGGAATGTGAAACAGAATTTAGAAAGCTCAGATGAATTTTTGCGGGGTAACAATGATTGTGATCTATTCTTCCTTTCCATGGAAGTTAAATAGACTTTGATGGGGACATCCAACGTTCCAATCTGTTTTTATACTTGCCAATGGTCTAGGCCCCATTTATTAAATGCAGAATAACAGCCAAATAGATGAAGACCTGTAAAACACGGACCAGGGCAGAATTCACTTTTTTAAAAAGGTGAAGGCCATTTGCACTCCTCATTTAGCTGAATGAGAATGAGTCATTTGCTTAATGGATAATTTTAACTTGATTTCCAGTAAGTGGATTAAGTAATTGAAGAACTTCGAGGCATGGAGAAATATTTGTTGAAGCACTTGGAAACAAAATCAGAGCCAGGTCTGTCAGCAACTTACGATGGAAAATTCCAATTAGTCAACCTATCGATACAGCTTCATTATTAAGCAACATTCTAATGGCTTGGCTTCAGTGCTGACATGTTGCAGGCATTTGCAATGTTACACCAAGGTTGCAGGCTACCCTGATAGGCCTCATGCTGTTAGTCCACTTTGTTAAATAGAAGTTGATTTTATATTTAGTTGTGCATGGAGTGTACAGATGAAACAAATCACTTCTATAGGCTCAACAAGATGAATAGTTGCTGTTGAAAGCTAGCAAGGAGCTGGATGCAAGATTAATATGCAGTCCCAAGTTCCACTTCCTACAATTTTTATTGATTGCATGAAAAAGTACTAAAATTCATGATTTCTTAGATAAGTTAGATTGAAACTCTTGCATAGCTATAGTAGATGTAATTTCTCTGAAATGTACCATTTGTCTACAAATATAGCTTTTCATCTGGGACCACGTGCAATGAATTCTATGATGAGTGCAAAGCCTTCCTGATGGCACTCTGTGCTACAAACACACCCTGGCTCCCAGACTAGCTTCTTTGCCCTCTTTGGTCTTTGTCAAATTGCCTCCTTAGGAGAATTTTATAAATGTCCTACCCTGCTGTGGTTCAAATACCGGGACTTATTTGGTGTTTGTTTTTCCATTCCCACAAACCACAAAAGATTGAATGTTGATGTATTTTAGCATTAAGATCTTTCTACTAACATCTGAATGGCATGCCAACTAATTTGACACAGAATTCCATTGTCTTTCAGTAGGTTTCAGGAAGAGAGAAAGCCGATTACAGCCTGTCTTTACTTATTTTACTTTTAGAGTTTGGAACCTAGATTTTGGCAGAATGAGAGTGAGGACTAGATGAGGTTTGGTTCAGGGCATCATTCCAGTTCTATTACCATTCAATAATTTTTGGAAAACCTATGTATATACTTGAAATAGTACACTTGGGTGTTTTTTTTTCTTTCTATTGAAATCAACTGTTTTAGAAAATTCTTGAAGTAAGTTACAATACTAAAATATTAATTTGATGAAGTTCCTGGTTGATTTCTATTCTAGAACCTGTATTCTTTCCCATGAGATGGTCACAATGACAGAACATAATCAAGAAGGATATTGGGAGATTTATCATTCCTCATCTTTTAAAAAAATTGATGTTTGATTGACATTTATCAAAGCTTTGCTGCATCAGTAAAGGCTCAAGTTTATTCATATGTATTGATCCCCTTGGTTGTTCAGCTAAATAAAGTTTTGAACAGATTTGGAATACAAATCTTCAAAAATGCTTTTCACCTGCAGCGTGAAACTTGAAGCTCATCCCTTTGGCTCAAAGTCCAGCTGAATTATGTACTTTTCCTGAAATTTTAACTTTGACTATCTAAGAGTCTTACTGTAAGACTTCACTTCCAGAAAACATTGAGATATAGGGACTCTGGCTACTCTACTGTGCCCTACATACAGTTACGTCTTATTTTATGATAGTATTTTTAAACCTTGTTATTTTATAACACATTTATGTTTTGTAGAGGCCTAGATATCAATGCAAATTTCAAAGCAAGTGATCATGAGTCCTGATAAGGAGATAATATGCTTTGAAATAGGAAGAAATGAGACTATTTTAAGAATGACTGATGGTGCCCTGGCATTCCTTCTCCCCTGTGCCCTTGGAGGGTATTTAGTGCTACCTAGAATGTGAGTCAGAGAAGGTACAGATAGGAAGAACTGTTCTCACACCACAGGAGAAGTAACAGCTCAAGGGCCTAGCTAGTCAGAGCAGTGTGGCACTGCTGCTCCAGAAGTCTGGCTTCATCAGCAGTGATGCATGGCTCTGAGCTCTGAACAGGAAGCATGGTTGATCTGTGCTGAAGGCTTGGTTGATCTCTTGAATAAACTGAGAGATGATGGAATGGTGCACAGTGAATCTCCTCTGAAGACTGAACATCTTCCTTGGACCATGATCAGTGAACATACTGGAACATACTGGAACATTCTGACACCATTTTCCATCCCAACCCCTGTTCTCCCTTAGTTTTCTGGTCTTAGGGTTACAACTTGAAGTGAGTACCTTCCATTGTAGCACTCATTTCTAAAAGCATTAAAGCCAATTTTCTGACTCATCTGTATTTCAAGTCTAAATGTTTACTTCATTTAGTTGGATTAATAGCCCCATAGTTTCTTATTAGTGAAACTTATTTAAATATGATAATGAACTAGTATTTCTTGTGGTAATTTCTGATGCTGGATATGTGAACACATAATATGCTCTCTTTAGTGGGATCCTACATGAGGACAGTAATTGTAGTTCAGCAGGATGTAGCTGAAAACACCTGGCTCCGCTCCACTCTTTACATTGAATTTTCTTCAAAATTAAATTACATTTTGGGAAGATTTCCATTTGTCCATATACATGTTTGAAAATTGTTGGACAGCATAAAATCATTTAAAAGATTGTCCTATTTCCCATATTGTCTCAAGTGTGTATTACTGTTCAGTTCTAAATTATTGTTTAAATGGATCGCTGTTTTTATATGGCTGAAAAGCAAATCATGTTAGTTTGGGCATACATTCAATGCAATGAAGAGGCACTTGAACACACATCATAGGTGTACTTTTGTTGCAGATATAGAACACAAATATAAAATGCACAAGTTAAATCTGCCCCAGGATAATTCTAATTGTCCCAAAATACATTTATACACAAATATGACATTGAATGCTCTCTACTGGCAGGGCCATGTTAATGTTCTATTAACAACATGTTAATTTGTTATTTCACTAAACTAAGATTACAGCTTTTAGTTGCTTATCTATTCATATGCTGTATTAATTGCATGGCACAATAGATAAACATGTTTTAGCCATACGTTAGTTATAGAGAGCATGCTTGATGGATTGTGGACCTGTTATGACATCAAAAATATAGGCAAATAGAAAACATTCAATGGAAAACCTCTTGATGTATGAATTTTATGTTATATCCTATGAAAGGAGAATCTCCTACAAATAAAACTGCCTTATAACCCACTCTTTCCCGTGCTTCTTCTTTCTGCAACATTGCAATGATGGAAATCATGACAGAAAATGAAAGATAAATGCGAGCACTTGTAAATACTGTGATATCACCTTATCATTATCTGGTGATAATGATTTGCTGTTGGGCAAATCTGTTCTACTCTGCCTGTGGGTTGGAGGACTGTGGTATGAAGAATGCAGCTTTGAACTGCAGCCTGATGACCAGAAACACACATACAAACACCACACACATACAAATACCACCACATACAAACACCACCAACGCACACACATACAAACACCACCAACACACACAGAAAGAGAGAGCGAGGGAGAGAGATCAAGCTTGAGCCCTTCTGCTACATAAAATTTAGCAGCCATTAAACAAATAATTGCTTTATTTTGGAAGCTTTTCTAATTAAACGTTAGTCACATACTCTCCCTTGACCCCTGCTTTCTGTGTTAAAAATCGCCATCCTAAAAAGCTTACTTTATGCATTGCATAATTACAAAAAGTTCCCAGAAGAATGGAATGTTTTATTGTATGGTTTGCTTTTTGAAAAGGAATTGTGTGTGTGTGTGTGTGTGTGTGTGTGTGTGTGTGTATGCGCACATTTATATAAATGTGAAGATACATGATTGTATTTCACAAAATTTTTGCAGCCATATTACAAAAAGCATGAGGGAAATGAGAGAACATGGGTGATGCTTGGGAAACGAGGCTGGAGAAAGGAAAACAATAGGTACAAATTTCTACCAGTTTCCTCAGGCATCCATAGCAGCTGCTTAATGATACATGTATCATTATATCCTGGAGTAGTTGGAGGGCAGAACAGACTTGATTACACTACAGACAATTGTTTCACAATAATTCTGGGCCATTTTTCATTAGCTGTCTCCCCTCACAGCAAAACAAGAGGTAATTTTTTTAAGGAACATAACAAAACAAAACTAAACAAAACAACCTATACCACAGTAAGGTTGTCCAGCAGTTAAAGATTTTTAATAATTCATCATGCGAAACATTTTAGGTGAAATGCTAAATTTCTCAACTGTGACAACAAATGATGAGTGGAAAAAAACAGAACTTGTACTGATAAAAACAATAGGATAAATAAAAGAAATTGTATGTTCACTTTTCATGACTGCACTATACATTTTTTTTATTACCTTGCTTTGTCTGACAGGTTTTGTCACTAGTAGGGGGAATCAAAAAGGTTTGTTTTGAACCAATTGATGAAAAAGCTGATTTCTTTTTAACAGTTACGTGGCAAACTATCTCTTGGTAATCATTTATGTATGTTCACATATCCACTGCCTGGTATCATGTCACAGCCCCCTTTTAGGTTTTCTTTCTAAAGACGATGGAGGGTTCTAGTGAATTTGCATGGCTTTTGAAGGGCAGCATTAGCTGCTTCAGGGCTCTGCCTTCCCTTGTATTGATAATGAAAGTAAGAAGTAGTGGTCATTAGGAGCTATGTCTCAAGCTACTATTCTAAGAATTTGATATGAATTCACATATATAATCATTGCAACCAATCCTATGAGGGAAGTAACACTATTAGTCCTATGTAATAGACATTAGTCAGGAGCTCTCCATGCATCTGTGCATGGCTCCTTGGACAACCTGCAGAGGACCTTGGCGCCCTTCTCAGAACCCTACCTTAAAGGTATAAAATAAAATACAGGAGAATACAAAGGAAATCAATTATGTTGAAATAGTTAAGAAAAGATGTATTTGTATGTACACATCTTCATTAATGCATTCAATAAGAATATCTGTGAGGGGACTCTAATAACAAGTATAATCTCAAAGTGGTCATGGGCATTGGTGATATTTTCAGATAGCTTCAACACCTCCAATAGGATAGGCTCCTTGTGACTTCTACCGGTGAGAAAGTCACAATATTGCTAATACTACTGTGACTTGTTGCCTGCCCTCATAATCGATGGAAATTTCAAAAATTAGAGAAAATAAAGATGCACTCTTTTTTTTCTATGTAAGTTCCTCGCCTTACCCTGCAACTTCAAGCTCAATTCATCTTTTTTGATATGAAGAGAAAGTAAATTAAACAACAGATTTATTCAGATGGCATGATAAGAAGAGTGATGGATGAAGCTGGAGGCCATTATCCTTAGCAAACTAACACAGGAACAGAAAACCAAATACTGCATGTTCCCACTTATAAGTGGGAGCTAAACAATGAGGACAGATGGACACACAGTGGGGAACAACACACACTGGGGCTTGTTGGAAGGTGGAGGGTGGGAGGAGGGAGAGGATCAGGAAAAATAACTAATGGGTACTTGGCTTAATACCTGGGGGTGAGGAAATAATCTGTACAAAAAACCCCCATGACACAAGTTTACCTATGTAACAAACTTGCACTTGTATCCCTGAACTTAAAATAAAAGTTAAAAAAAAAAGGGTCAAGTAGACAAATTTAGACAATCTGGGGCCTATTCTCATAAAAATGTCACAACCAGTGTTAAGTATTTTCTACTAGGAATGCTTTCGAGTTTTAATCTAAAATGTGATTTTTCTCTCCAGGCTTTTTTCTATACTTCATGATTCGTCATTTTAAAATGTATGACAGTGGGAGAACAAGAAAGCTTGAAGGTCAAAGGTCATAAGGCCAATGTTGACTGACAAGATTTCCATCTGGAATTGGATGGCATTTCCTTAAAAGCTGTCCCTTGCATCTTTCTCTCCAAGCTGCTGATTGGCCAGTGATGTCCTTAGATTCTGACCCCGGAGCTTCCTCCATGCATCCCCTCACCCTTCTCATGGTCTCACCTCCTCAGAGCCTTCCTTGACATCTCATTCTTCGTCCATGCTCTGCCTTTCCTGCGTCATTCCTACTGTCTGGAGCACATGTTTTGTGCCTGATGATAATCATCTTCTGCTTTTGGCCTAATAACTTCACATTTCCTTTGAAGGTATCCAAAACATTGTATATTTCTTATGCATATTTCGTGTAGAAGGCACTTGGAGATTTCTTGCTGAATTTTATCTTGTCCTCTGCAACTGCAACCTTGATAATACAGAATTGAGGTGTGTGTGAGTGTGTGTGTGTGTGTGTGTGTGTGTGTGTACAAAGTAAATCATTTTTTAATTTGTAGTTTAGTCTTGAAGTATAATGCCAGTCTAATCCACCAATATTTAGTTAAAGGTACAAATGTTGTTTCTCTACTCAACTGGAAATGGACAGGCCTAGTTACAAGGATGAGCCAGTATTCCCTGCCCTTAGAGCACTGTCTGCAGGGGCAACAGACATGAAAACAGACAAAACAGACTGTTAGAGCACACACTAATTCTGTGAATGTGGAGAGCACAGACACATGCATTTGGCAGAGACAGGGCCATGAAGGATACATATATGTACAATTATAAATATATATATTTATTTTTTTAAGTTATATATACAATTTTCTTAAATGAAATTGCATGTTCAAATGTAAAAAGAAAGGACCAATCAAGCCTTAGCTAGGAAGTAGGGAATTGTGAGTGGTTTTGAAAAAAAAAAAAAATGCCCAGTGAAGCGTGGGATAACTGGGAAAGGCTGAAAGAGATGCATTTGCCGCCCCTGTAGACAGTGTTCTAAGGGCAAGGAATGCTGTCTCATTCTTGTAACTAGGCCTTCCCATTTCCAGTTGAGTAGAGAAACAACATTTGTACCTTTAATTAAATATTGGGGGATTAGACTGGCCAAGCCAGACTTCGAAGTGCCTGGTATGGGCCACACAAAAGTGTCTGGACTTCCTTTTACATAAAACAAACACCTGGTAAAAACCTTAAATGAGAGACTAAAATCGTCAGGTTTGCTTTACGGAAAAACATCTGCAATTGAATATGCAAGCCTTTAGAAAAGAGTATCTCAGGTGTATTTCCCCCAATGTTTCAAGTTCTAATTTTCTTTGCCTAATATCCTCCTTTTCCTTTCCCTCCATTTGTGAAGCCAGCAACCTCAACATCACAACAGAGGCAAAGTCATCATCCTGTTCCAGAAGGGCAATTTTACATTGTCCTTGCTGTTGAGCCCACTGCCTTTTCACGCTATGAATTACGGCCCACAGTTGGGTCAGCAGCTGTGGGCTGAACAGCCACCTCTGTCTATTTCACATAAACTGATGCTGTCTGAGAAGCCTTTAAAGTTTGGCTAATGGAATTCAGGAGAGGGGAAACTTCCCTTTGAATGGAATATGGAGTAACTCAAGAGACCTGAGTTGATTTCAACATTCCCAAATCAAGTTCTAGAATTAATTCTTCACACACACACACAAAAAAAAACAAACCCAAAAAGCTGAGATAAATCTTTGTTCCAAGGAATTGAACAAGAAAAGTATCTCAGGAAGGCAATTCTTAAAGGTTTTAATATGAAGACCCAATTTGTAGAGAACAGGGAAACTAAGCCAGAGGATTTGGAATGTCAGAGATGGTGTGATAAGACAAACATCCTTCCTAACTTTATTCATTTAGGACATCTTTGCCTGCATGCTTCAGATGCTCAGAGTCTTATTTCTTTCAAAACAGAATGAAAAATTATTGAAACAACTTCAAGTAAACCAAGTAATTGTTCAGAATACTGAAGTAGATATACTAGAGTTGTAGCATAAGAACATTAGCATTAATTTGCCCTCAATTTAACTCAAAATATTGTCAATATCAGTTATCCTTCCACCTGGATTTTTACAGTACACAACAAATGAGCAGGAGAATGAGACAACCGGAGTGGGAAGTCTGTCTGCTTTAGCGGTAATGCAGCCCACATTTAGGGCTCCGGGGGCCATTCTCTCCTCCATGAGAGTTCTTCCTCCTCCTTGTGAAAGTGGACTCAGCCCTGGGAAGGTTGGTCAGGCAGCCAAAGTACCAAAGGATCCTCACTTTTTGGAATTCTATGCCATTGTAGTAAATTTAGGAGCCCTAATATGGGAAATAGGAATCCCAACAGCAAGCAAAGAATGAACAGAAGTAGAGAGAAGCAATAAAATTCCACTGTCTGAAAGCACCTACTAGCAAGGCTCAGAGAAAGAACCAAAGTCCTTGACTAAGAAGCAAGGTGTGGGAAGTTAGGGAGAAGTCTGAGGAAAACGCCAGGTGTAATACCCTACAACCCTATTTCCAGTCTTAAGAGGATGCTACTCTTTGACCTGCATATGGCATGACGCTATCCCAAATCCACATGTGTCTGGATGTCTGGAATCCAGTAGTGAGATGTCTGGATCTTCACCCACAATAGCCCAAGTTCTTGGTAAGACTCCTGAAGTAAGGGCAGTGTGGATGCTGCACATGGTATCTGAGACAGTTTAAAGTTCGCTGGAAAAGGTAAAAGTGAATCTTGCGTCCCTGGGATGGAGGGAGGAGGAAGATCATTTTAGGAGGGTGTCATCTCTTACTTAACCCAAGCCAAATATTAGGAAAACATGGTTTTAGTGGGCAGCCCCACAAGCTACCACATTTTTTTCAACCTGCAATCATGCATGTGAAATTTCCTAAAGTCAGAGGTGAAAATAAACATCATAAAATGTTCAGGAAATGGAAATCTCTTGAAACTACATAAATCGGGCTGAGCTGAGGTTGTTCACGAGCCACTCGCAAGAAATCAGATCCCATTTCTCTTATTTAATGGGTTTGCTAAACCATCTTCAACAGACCTACTTCGGTGTCTTCTAACAGATATCTTCTACTAGCATCGAAGATGTTCACTGATATCTCAGAGCTCTTCATAAGAGCAGGGAGACACAGGATGTCTGCCTTTGTGGTCTGCCCTGTAACTTAAGCTGTTCCCCAAGGGTGCCAGCAATAAGGTGACAAAAGTTCTTTGATGGTGCAAGTGACTTTACACACACACACACACACACATCTTGTAGCTTGGCTAGATTTAGCAAATGCAAATATAGGACTTCCAGTTGGATCTCAATATCAGATAAGCAGCAATTTTTTGTTGTTGTTAGTTTAAGTTTGCTCTAAATATTGCATAGGCAGGCCAGGCGCGGTGACTCACACCTGTAATCCCCGCACTTTGGAAGGCCGAGGCGGGTGGATCACTTGAGGTCAGGAGTTTGAGACCAGCCTCACCAACATGGCGAAACCCTGTCTCTACTAAAAACACAAAAATTAGCCAGGCGTGGTGGTGCATGCCTGTAATCCCAGCTACTTGGGAGACTGAGGCAGGAGAATCGCTTGAACCCGGGAGACAGAGGTTGCAGTGAGCTGAGATTGTGCCACTGCACTCCAACCTGGGCGACGCAGTGAGACTCTGTCTTAAAAAAAAAAATGCATGGGCAGATTGTAGGGATTTTGCTTGTGCCATGTTGTGCCTCATTGATCAGGAGCCATACTGGGGATATGTCTCTGCCTTGCCTGAGAAAGATGATGGACTGGAGACAGAAGGAGATTTTACTATTGGAGTGGGGGCAGTGATGAATCTTAGAAAGAGTGGTTGTGTGTCCCAGTTCTGTAGCCTGTGACCTTTGGTAGGTGATTTAATCTGTCCGAGCCTCAGTTTCCTCATCTGTCAAATGGGGATAATTACAGTAACAACAGAAAACATTTTCTGAGTGCTTACAAAGTAGTAGGAGCTATTCTAAAGGCTTCATATGGATTGAATGCATTTATTCTTACAACAGTGCTATGAGGTGGGTATCATTATTAGTATTATTCTCATTTTATCTCTGAAGATACAGTACACAGAGAAACTAGGTAACTTGCCCAAGGACAGAGCTACTCAGTGGTGGAGCAGGGATAGATTTCAATTCAGAAACTAAGGTTAACTCTATACTGTCATGAAATAGATTGTGCATAGCACTGAGCCCAGCGACAGGTACCAAGTCAGTGCTTACTCCTTGCTATCGTCAACCTCTTTAGAGGAGGAGCTCTGCCTGGCCCCTGGAAAAGGCGAGCTTCAATAAGCCAGAAAATGACCTAAAAGAAAAATGAGAGATGCCTCCTGGCAGGAGCCAGTGACTAGAACCCAAAAGGGGATCCCTGTGATTGATGCTCCACACCCTGCACCCCTCACCAGCTAGGACCCTACAAAGCCAAAGTGTTGGAGGCTTAGCTGCACTCCTCTCACTGGAGAACAGCCATGTGATCGGAATCAGCTCTAGCCTGGATCCCTTTCATGCCTGTGCCACTACATAGCCTAATCACTCAGAAGGACTCCAAAAGCCTGCCCTTCAGCACTTCCAGTTTACTTTTTTTGGTGTTTTTTATTTGTTCATTCGTTTATTTAAATGTAATTATTGAGCTTCTTTTATGTTACCCATGTTGGGTGTTGGGATAGGTTTTCACAATACCAATATGAACACAGCAAACCTCTGACCATGATCATACAATGTGTGGGGAGCTGGATCTATAAATATATGATTTCTATGCAACACAGTGGGTGAAACAGTTCAGAGTGATCAGACCTGCTTGAGGTGGGGCGAGGGCAGGTGATGAGATCAGAGAAGACCCCACGGGGGAGATGATGTTGGAGACAGGACTTGGAGGGTGAGTACTGGTAGCTGACTTTATTGAGCTGCTACTGTGAACTAGGGACTACTCTAAGAGTTTTATATGTGTTAACCAATTCAATAAGAATGGCACTGTTAGCCTCATAATAACGAAAACACAGGAAACCAGTAACTTGTCCAAAATTACACTGTTCTTATGGAACTGAGCTGGGATTTGAACCCAAGTATCTGGCTTTGGAGTCTGTTCTTTTTTCATCACTATGCTGTTCTGGTTAAATAAAAGGCCTCTTGCTCAGAAGATGTGGAGAGTGTCGCAGCCACAGACTAGCAAGGTGCACATGAACATGAATGGCCAGATGTGGGGCAAGAGTTCTGGGTGGCAGCTCATGAAACTGGAGAGGGACACTGTGCAAGATCTCTGCTAGCAGGAGCCATTTGGATTTTAATTTATCAACTGAGAAATTATGGAAGGCTTTGAACCACTGAATGGAAGAATCAATTTTACATTTTAGAAAGATAACTTTCCAGAATAGAGGATGTACTGGTAGAAGGTGAAGCGGAAGGCAGAGAAATCAATTAGGAGATTGTTGCAATGGTTTATACTGTGGACAAGAAGGGTGGACTTGTGTCTGCCTAGATAGTATTCCAGTAGTAGACTGAGTCTTACAGGGAATGGATTGTATTTGAAAGAGATATTTAAATGGATAAGAAGGTATGTGGATTTGTTGGCACTTGATCCAAAAATTCTCCCTCCAGATGTCAATGCAATAAAGCAATTAATTGTAAGGCAAGATGATCCAATCATTGAAAATGAATGTTATGGGGTTTCATCCCTGCAAACTGTAAACCCTATAATCCTTCCTAAATGTAACTACAAATCTTCTTTGCTTTTCAATAAATATTTAATAACAGGGGATTGCAGAGGAAGGCTATATTTCAAAAATCTTAATTGCTCTAAAGAAACCATCTGCAAACTTAAATATTAACACACCTAATTGCTACTGAAACAAGTTTATCAACGGAGATGATCAACAGAGATGCAAGCAATGAGTTTTCTAATCTTCGGGTGGGTAGGGACAGAAGATTGACAGTTTTACTGTTTCTAATTCAGCTTTTTCACGGTTCATACTTTTTCAGGTCCAATTTATCTTTATCTTAGCCTATGTGATGCAGTCCAATCCTTTGTTTCATCAGTAGAGTGTAGAATTTTTCACTTTTTCCTATATATTGTTTTTAGACAATTCACTCTTCCCTATTTTATATGCATTCAGAGATCTCTTAGTGAGATCTTGTCCTTAGCTATCTTCTGTTCTACTCATTAGTTAATGTTGGCTCGGCACTATTCAAATCCCTCAGATAACAGTGAACCAAAGCAATTAAGTAACTGCCTTCATCAGACTTAGACTATGGTTGAGACTACAGACGTCAAACAAACTAACATGTAAAATCTTTGGAGCCAGACTACTAAGAAAGACTATGTTAAACATTTTGGGGTTTATTCTAAGGAAAATGAGTGCAAAATGAAAAAAAATCACTAAAACTGAGGTTATTGTTCCTTGATTTTTTCTCTTGATTTTTACTCAACTAATAAAACAGTGTGAATGGTCTAGAATTGGCAAGGGTGGGCAGAGGACGAATAGGGACAGAAAGTCAAATGACTCTCATTCTTGCCTTGGCCTTTCCATCAACAATTTTAATTAATTTATTTAAAAGTCAATATTGTTATTATATTTGAAAATAAATATCATTGGCATAATTTTCCCACATCCCATCTAGATAAGAAATACAACACAAAAACTTAAATTTCTGTAATACATGAAATGGCAACTAATATGTTCACAGAAACAATCAATTTTTTTTTTCCGGAGAAACTATCATGACTCAAAGTTAATCTGTTCCGAGGAAAGGAAGTGGAATTGGTTACTGATATGCAATCATTCATTTCTTATTTTACCAACAGTAATTAAATTGCCCGGAACTGTTGTCATTTAACAGCCTATTAATTGACTAATGTGCATTACTTGCATTCAGAGTATAGGTAAAATCCAGGGATTAAGCAAGAAGAAAAAGAGATTTGCAAACTCTGCCTGTCATCCTGAAAGCAGTAAATTTACCTCATATTGCAAGGTAATTTATAAATGCTCAAGTAGCTTATATTTCAGAAGACAGAAACATGTTAGTCTGAAAATACAGGAGCAGGAAGGGTCCTGCAGCCCCCCGGGGAGCTATGGAAGTTATCTCTTGAATCCTTTCTCATAAGCAGACGGATCCACTACCCTTTCTCATCAACAAGATGCTTTCTTCTGCAGTCACTTTTTTTTTTCCCCACGAAAAGGTCTCTTATGCCTTTGCCAATGCCAATTCTTCAGATTTCTTTTTCTTTTTTTTTTTGAGATGGAGTCTTACTTTGTCACCCAGGCTGGAGTGCAGTGGTGCGATCTCGGCTCACTGTAACCCCCTCCTACCAGGTTCAAATGATTCTCCTGCTTCAGCCTCCTGAGTAGCTGGGACTACAGGTGCGTGCCACCATGCCTGGCTAAATTTTTTTTTGTATTTTTAGTACAGACGGGGTTTCACTGTTTTAGCCAGGATGGTCTCGATCTCCTGACCTCGTGATCTGCCCACCTCGGCCTCCCAAGGTGCTGGGATTACAGGCGTGAGCCACCGCGTCCGGCCCAGGTTGCTTTTAAGTATGTTATTTACATTCCTAGTTGGTGTTATTGCTATTTTTTTCTAATAGTCATGCAGAATATTTCCAGTTATCCATGTTTTATCTTTGTTTCCAGTTTTAGAAGTTTAAATATGCATGGTTTATAGGAACCCTGCAACAAATTTTGAAAGTCTGGACTGTTTGTTCATCAAAGCCTGAGGTTTCCTGAGATCTTCGCATCTTTGAATCTTCGGTATAGTCAACAGGCCTGAAACACAGAAGACGTCAAATGCTCGATGAATCGAATTGGGATAAGAAATAATTTACTATAAATAACGATAAAAGAAATGACAAAAGTGACATTTATTAGCATTATTAAAAGTTGCAGTTCTGGGTTTTCGTGATCATAAATTGCCAGCCAGCCAAAGGCAAGCATCAACTTCACTCATAAAATTTTCTTCAAAGAAGCTTATCCCCAAACAACATTTCTGTCGGATTACCTCCAGCATAATTACAGTCCTTGTCTCCTTCCTATAGTCAGGAACTTTTCTCCCTTGTTGGACTTTGGGCAGAAAGTGAGGCCCTTTATGATCACAGCACTCTTCCCAGGAAACCTTTTTAATCTAGGCCCATTACAGCACAAGGAAGCATTTATATTTCTTCTGGTCTCAGAGCCACATGTTCTGCCGACCTTGCCTGAGTAACGTCTTCCCAGAAGCAAATCTTCTGGCTGCTCTATGCCACAGCTTACTCTCTGTAAAATGGAGATAACAGTGCTGTTCTAACCTACTGATGTATATGTAAATTGGATGTTTACCTTGGCAGGGAACTGAAGGTATGAATGGGGCAGAAGAAGCAAGTTGTCATTGTCCCTTCCATGTGGGCTCTTTCGTAGCTCGTTTCCTTTTGCTTCTCATCCTCTGTGGCTGACATTTTGTGGTCTCACTTATTTCTCCAATGGAAATGACCCACAGAATATTCTATGGTTTCTTGTTTCTAAGAAACAAGATGTTGGCCCCCAGTAGAAAGAAGCCCTCGTTGGGTAACTTGGGTGGAGTTGTAGGTGTGAATGAATGTAAGATGAGATCGTAAATGTATCTGTGCCCACACAGGCTGATATGTGACCTTCAGTAAGTCTGGACCTCAGTTTATTTATCCATGAAACGGCAGGGTCAGAACAGGTGACCTCTAAGGAATTCTGCTATGGTCTATAAATTAAATAAAACTGATTGCATTGATGGAAAAGAGATTCAATTAGGTTTGTCCACTTCTCTGAAATCAAAAGCAGCTGAAACCAAACTTTTCTAAAGAGGAAAAAATATATGCTGCCCATCTTTCTGGATTCTCTAAAAAACATTTTAATATTCCCCACTTCCCCCAAACTATGCATGGGATTAACTTTACCATGTTCTGTGTCTGTGTATCCAACCTGTTAACTTTTCTTTTTAAGGCCAAATTTGCGTGACAAAAGGTAAAATGTGTATTACCCCTCCATGCAAGGCTCGTAGAAGAGAGAATAATGGCTGAATGGCCCATTCTGGATCCTCTCAAATGACATTATAACAGAAGTCCTAACTAAATGCCCTAACGTGTAAATTTCCTGTGACATATCGCTTGAGTCTCTGCTTTTGTCACATTTTTCATTAGTCAACACTTTTCAAGTACAGATCTTCAACCAATTTGGATCTGCCTATCTACTTTTTTTTTTTTTTTTTGAGACGGAGTTTCACTCTTTCACCAGGCTGGAGTGCAGTGGCATGATCTCAGCTCACCGCAATGTCTGCCTCCCAGGCTCAAGTGACTCTTCTGACTCAGCCTCCAGAGTAGCTGGGACTACAGGCATGTGCCACCACATCTGGCTAATTTTTTGTATTTTTAGTAGAGACGGGGTTTCACCATGTTAGCCAGGAAGGTGTCGATCTCCTGACCTTGTGATCTGCCTGCCTCAGCCTCCCAAAGTGTTGGGATTATGAGCGTGAGCCACCGCACCCGGCCCTATATTCTATTCTTTAGTTAACACAAGAGGACTTTGTTCTGCACCTGCTACTGTATACATCAGATGCTGTGTCCAAACATCTCACATGTATTATCTCTGCTCAAAGTCCAGAGTAGGAAGGGTCATTTCTCAATATTACCTCAAAAATACCATGAATGCTTCATCAATATATCTTTTCTCTCAGAGGCATTCAATTCTAGGCTTGATTTTTAATTTTGGAGTGAAAAGCCTTATTTCATGGTAAAGAGATGACTGCTATCTGAAGAGAATCGGGAGTTTGGGAAGGGCTAAGGGACCCTTTCTAATGTGCTGGGTATTAAGCAGCATAGATTCTTTCCTTTGCCAAAGGCCAAACAGTATCCAACAGAGAAAAGTGTTGCCTGGCACCATACAATCCCATTAAAAACAATAAATATAAACACATCCAACTAATATCTGAATAGTATTCTCAAATTTGAGTCCAAAGGACAGCATGGTGGATTTTCATAACAAATTGCTGATTTGAGAATTTCCTAGGGAATCCATTGTGTATCTTAAGTTGATGGTTCGACCTGTGGACGGAACAGCCAGGCTGGCTGGCTTACAAATTGCAGCATTATTTTTCCTAAATCCCCAACATTCATGATTTCATTTCAGTAAAACAGTAATTTAAACAATGACTAAGTGTGTAAGAAAAAATATATTGAAGGCTATGGAACAATTTATTAATAATGGTAGGACATTTTCTGCAGTACTTCTAATGTATCACTTAGGACTGTATTGATTCAGCATCAGAGTTCTTGGAAACAAGCCTCTTACCAATATCTAAGATCCTGGTGTTGTAATTGAACTAGAAAATGTAAGATTTCCACTGTTCCTGCTGAGAATTCTTCCCAATAAATGTATGTTTTCCACTGGGGCGAAAACCACTGCTACTTGTGTTTTTAATTTTTCCTCCTGTTTCTTTTTCATATTATTCAGTTTTCTGTTTTTCTCTCCTTTACCAGAAAAACAGACATATTGGACACTATTTATTCCTCTAAGACAACTTGCACTTTAGGGGGCCATTTGAATGATAAACTTTGTTATAACTTATAGCCAGAAAATCACCAGTGTGCAGTATGAAAAAACTGAGAAAAATGCATTAATGTTTAACCCTACCCAGTGGTTGAATGAAATCTTAGTAGAGATGGGCTTTTACTAGTTCTCCTATTGTTTTATATGTTATTCTGTAAAAAAGCTTAAGAAATGGCTCCGTTTGCAGCCTCAGTGAGGAGCCAGGACACATACTTCCAAACTTAATGAGTTATATAGTACAGCATCAGCATCAGAGCATCATTTGCTGGGAGAACAAAGACCACTCGACTAGGGTTATGGTTCTGATTCCAATGCTAAGTAGATGTGTGGCCTTGGGGGAGATGTGCCATGTCTCCGAGGACCTGAAAATGAAGGGACTAGATGAGGCCATCTCTAAGGTCCTTCCACTGCTGTGTGGGACACCTCGGTTTTTTGTTTTCAGGAGCTTAAGAAAAGCACTAAAGAGCTATGTGAAGAAAGCTCACTAGAAGTCCCAACACTAGAGCATTAAGTATTTTCCAGTGGAATAGAATCCTTCTAATAAAAAGAGTGCTTAGGAAAAGTAGCAACATGAGTTTCACTGGAGTGGAAAGGGAGGTGGCCCACTCCTCTGACTAGATAGTTGTAGAGCTAGCTTCTCCTCCTGGGTGTGTTGGGCTGTATATGCCCAGGAGTAGCGGATGCTGTGGTGTGCTATTCAGATACCCCCTCCAGCAAGGACACTCATTCTCCAAGGCACTGAGAGTATTTGCTCCTGTTGTCTAACAGCCAAATCCCTCTCTTGGAATTGCTCTTAGCTGAAGGAAGCTACTTTGGGCAAGTTTACACTCTGTCCCTGGGATAGTCTGCTTCTAATGGCTCATGAGCTGGGGCTGGGGGCAGGGCGGTGGTGGGAGGAACAAAGTCTCAGCTCTGTTGCCTCAATTTGAGACAATTCTGAAGTTGCATCCAGTTCAGAGGCCCTGGTGGGATTGTGGGATCCTCTGAGGCTTCTGCTGCAATTGCATCACAGTTCACTTTCTCTCTCTGCTCAGTTTTGCTTCCCTCATCCTCTTTTGAATAACGTTCACGAGAGGACTCTCCGATAAATCTCCTACAGCCAAATTTTCATCCTGGAGTCTGTCTCTGAATAATCCACCCAAGGTGCCAGAAGAGGAGAAAGACCCTGTCAGAGCCAGTGGCTCATCCCTGTAATCCCAGCTAGTTGGGAGGCTGAAGTGGGATAATCTCCTGAGTCCAGGAGTTTGAGAGTAGCCTGGGCAACACAGCAAGACCCCATCTCTAAAAAAGTTTTTTTTAAATTAACCAGGCATGGTGGCATGTACCTGTATTCCCAGCATGCCATCCTAGGCAACAGAGTGAGACCTTGTCTATAATAAATAAATAAGACCCACTGAGAGATGGGTTGAGGTGGGATACAGTGGAATAACAATACAAGGAAGGATAGGGCAAAGGAAAACTGGAAGATGATGGGATCCTATCAGGTTGGTTTTAGCACAGATCATATATTCAAATAAAGTATTTCCTCCGTCTAAGCTAGAAATGACCCACTTTGTCAGTTTTCTGGGGGCTCTGTGGTAGGAGGCAGTCAATATTTTAGTAGAGGGAGCATGAGATGGCAGGCTCTGGTGATTGCCAAGATTTTTTTCACTATTGATGCAATCTTGGAGCCAGTGGAGGAGCTCAGGGGTACTTCTGGAGAATGGAGTGCATGGAAGCACATGCATTTCTGAGAAAGAATAAAATCCAAGCCACCAGAGGTGGAAGCAAGAGGATTCCAGACACCTGACACCAAGCAGCACCTCCTGCGCAGGAGAGTACTCATAGCTCCAAGCCAGAAGGTCCTTGGTTGTGATAGAGATCCGCTGAGAGAGAGAGAGAGAGAGAGAGAGAGAGAGACAGAGAGACAGAGAGACAGAGAGACAGAGAGAGAGGAAGGCAGACTTGTTCTCTGAATACTGGATCAGGAGGGCTGAATTTCTTAAGGTACAGTCTCAGGAGACATCATGGTACATTTCCTTTTTTACTCTCCTTTCTGGGTAAGTCACTGGAGGAGCTTGTTGAGAAAACAGATACTCAAGAGGCAAGCAGCTTGGGAAGGGGAGAGGTACAGTGTTGATACATTCAAAGACTATTATTCAATACAATGCCTAAATATTTCTGAAACACACTAGAAGTTGTCAACACATCCTGCTCCCTCTCTTTCTACATTTTATAATGGTGCAGCTGTTTTTTTGATCATGCAGAATTCCATATTTGTATTTACTATATTTCATCTTATTTTATTTGGACCTTGACTCCAGCTGATTGTGTATCTATTCCATTCTGATTCAGTCATTCATTGTGTTCTATTCCTCATACTCCACCCCCATTCTTTCTCCAGCCTGCTTTGTGCTGTCTATGATTTTGTTAAAAATATACCACAGATATCCTCTGTCTTAGTCTGTTCAGGCTGCTATAAGAACATACTATGAACTGGGTGTTTTATAAGCAAAAGAAATTTATTTCTCACCATTCTGGAGGCTGGAAGTCTGGGTTCAGGGTGCCAGACTGGTTGGGTTCTGGTAAGGGTCCTGTTCGATGTTGCAGACTGCTGACTTCTCCTTGTATGCTCACATGGCAGAAAGAGGGGAAGAGAGCTCTTTGGGGCCTCTTTTAAAAGGGCACCAATCCCATTCATGAGGGCTCCACCATCATGACCTAATCACCTCCCAAAGGCCCACTCCCTAACCCCATCACAGTGGAGATTAGGATTTCAACACAGGAATTTAGGGGAGACACAGACATTCAGTCCATTGTATCCATTTATAATAATTAAACTGGTTACATTTTTTAAGCATCTTCAAGAAACATTAGCTGTTGATACAGTAAAATATACACAAGACTTTCATCTTTCTTTCTAATTACAGCACTGGATATTTTTCTTTCCTGTTTATGACACTGCCCATGTATCAGTGAGCATTCTTGGATGCAGATTACAGACATCTACTCTTATTAATTTAAGCAGAAAATAAATTTATGGAAGTGAATCAGGTCATCCATAGAACAAATAAATGATTGGAGAAATGGATTCAGAAAATGGACGGGAATGCAGAGGCCAGACACTTGGGAACACAGCAGAGGTCACCCTGCAGTTACATTCCAGGTATGCTACCCCCACAGGCACTACCTTCTTCATGGCTACATCAGCACGCTTGCTACTGGAGGTTGTCACGGACACTCATCCAAGGAGGAAGTCCCCACAGTGGGACTGAGGTTTCTATGCTGGGCAGACAATATCCACTACAGTCAGCCTATTTGGTTATCCAGTCTCCAGATAACATATTTCTTCCACACTAATCTTAAAACAATACCTCTCAATATGACGCAACTCCATGGGCAATTAAATATACCTACTCCTTTTCCCCAAAGGGAGACATCCCACATTCTCAATATCTGCTTATGGCTCCACGTTACAGCCTTCCAGGTGGTGGGCCATTTCTCTCCTTATTCTGCGGTGATCTTGGTTAGATATTCTGCAACCTATGGAGCAAGTTTAAAGTTGGCCACAGACAACACACCCTATAGGTAACTGTGGGGGAGAGAGATAGAAACCAAAAGGGAAATTGAAACATATAAAATCACATTTCCACAACAAAGAGAAATTATGGATGAAGGCTCTAGAAATTATGGATAACTGGCAAGAAAGCTAGTTCATGAAGTTAGTGTTTAGCACCTTCCTTCTCCACAACCAATCCGTGTTCCTTTTGCTTCTCCCTAGCAACTCATTTGATCTGGTTTCTTACCCAGCGTGGAAACCCAAATGTTGGCGATCCTATCTACAAGGGATGTAAAGGTCCATTATTTTCCGCCACTGGGAATGATAGAATAATGAGTCAACATAAAGGCTCCTCTGGTTTCCATTTCCATAACCCTTTTTGCTGCATGCAACAATCCTAATCCTGACTATCAAAAAGATAGTATCAGTAACAGAAGACAGCCTGTTTATTCATAGGGGCCTAAAATGTCTATGCGGCAGTCTCAGATCCCATAATATCATTGGCCTGTAGAGATGGAAGTTCTCCCTTTATTATGAAAACCTCTAAACTTGGAAGAGCCCAGAATTGAGGAAGCTGAGTAAAAGTAAATTGTAAATGGGTCATTTATCTGAGAGTGACTATTCATGCATTTACCCCTTAGATTCCAGAGACTTTGATTCTACCTATGGAAAGATAGTAACATCTATTGTTCATAGCATCAGAATGTATATTGCATTTTATAAGACTGCACCCCAACTTGAGAAGGAGTTATCTCCCTGCTGAGACTGAGTCATATAGATGACGTCACTACTCTACAAAGCCATCTGCATCTGGTTGATGCTGTGTTTTGAGATCCTGAATTCCATTGGCATCATCCCACTGCCTGAGTTCTTTAATTGCAAAGTGAATTCCTGAATGCAATTTTATTTTATGGGATACTGTGATTATGTGCAAGGTGCTCAGTAGGTTCACAGGTGATGTTGTTTGCAGAAAAATGATGGGCAGAGAAGACAAATCTAAATCCAGAATGCCCTCATACTTGCAAGGACCGACTATTATCCCCTTCTTGAGGGAACAGGGTCAAATAGAATCAATGTGGCACTGAACATATGACTGGTGGCCTTGAGGTATGATTATCAGAATAGGAGCTCTGGCTTTGCTGCTGCTGGGGACAAACCAGTCAATGGACTAATCATCTTGGTCAAGTTTAAAATCCATGTTTTGAATTTATGGCTAACCTCTAACTATGCTACCTTGCCCCCTTGTTCATAAGTTAAAGCACTAGAGTGGTTAGGAAAGGAAGCTAACAGATGCCCACAGGGTAGATCATCTTGTGTATATGTTTATTTAAAGTCCTCTTACTTTAGGGGACTTTTTGCGAATACTCATAGGAGATGTGAATGTTTTCAAACTTTGGGCTCATTCTGAGAGGACTTCTCACATACCTTTTACCCTTAGATTCTTGTTGTACATTCTCTAATCTTGTTCTAGAATGCCTGGCAAAACCATCATTTACTGACAATGAATCAATGTGGAAACTTACCCCAGATAATCTCTCCACAGGTAAAGTTCATAAAATGCAGCCACTGAGGGATTACCAATGTATTTCTCCTCTCCACAATCCTCTTGGGCCACTTCTAAACTGGCTGAAATGTTGTGGCATTCTGTCTAGTGTCAATAGTATGTCTATATGATGATCACAAAGTATTTTGATTCTCCTGGAAAATTACTCAGGAAGCCATAGGTAGTTTTAGAGGGGGCAGAATTGTGAAAGGAGTAAATACGCTGGGAGTGTGAATGATTACTAGTGCCTTCCTGATCTGCTCACTTCCAATTCCACGTAAATTACTTTGAGTTAATGATGGACTGCTGCTGGGAAGACGTGAATTTGTGAACGGAGGAGCGTATAATGTCCAAGTCTTACTAGTCAACTCAGACTGCATGTCACTTGATATCCCATGACCAGATTGATCTCCGGTAGTACCCAGTTACAGGGCAAGTGTCATTTGTCAAAAAGAGAATAGTTATTTGCTGAAACAAACATGGGTTTGCTCTAAAATTCTCAGGCCTTGATGCCTACTCATCTATTTTTGTTCTACAGGTCCTGTGATCAATTAACTACTTCCTAAGACCTCTGTGAATAGGACCATCTTGTTTCCCACACTGGTGCTGCTGCCTTCTCTGATTACTGTTTTGGTGACCACTTTGCATCTCACACTCTGGAATCCTCCCACTCTATTAAAATTAACGAATGTATATCTGAACTGTAGCATCACAAGATATAGGAAATCATCATTGAAGTGCTGTTCACAAATGCTGGCATTCCCCAGGTTCATTTCTCATTGTTTGAGAGTGAGGACAGGAAAAAAGCATGTGCATCTAGTCCAACATTCCTAGCTTCCAGAGACAGTAAACACTCTTCTCTATATGCAGCCAATACATTTTTGTCAATGGGCCTATGCCTAGGGTGGACTATCATAATATTGCATAGTGTGAACCAGTCTTGCATACTCAGACTTTCTCTCAAATAGATGCCGTGTTGGATTTGGGATTAAATTTGTTCTCCCTTGTTCTAGTATACTCAGAATACATTCCAATACTCACTAGTCAGATTTTCAATAATCTAGAATAACCAAATCCAGCAATACTTTGGTGTATGTAAGATTCCTCCTACTCAGTTTGGCTTTTAATTAGCTCGTTGGAGCATGTGAGGCTTTAAGTTTGATAAAAGACATGGACAGCCTGAAAGAGCTGGGACTTTAGCACTGGCTTCACTCTTGAATGAGAATCCACCCATAGGACAAAGAGACCCTTATTCGGACAAATACTTTTCATGGGTTTATGGTTTCAAGATGCTTTTCCAATCCTAAGAGTTTTGCTCATGCCTAATCAATGCTTTTATTTTCACTGAGAAATGGTGAGACTGGGAATTCCAATGTTATCGTAATTGAACAACCATTAGGGTGAAACTTTCAGCTTAGTTTAGCAATCTCAGTTATGTAGTTATGAGCTATAAGATATTCTGGTAAGCTCTATGCCTTACATCATGCAGTATGGAGACTTGAAATTGCTATTTTCTTTTTTTAAGCTGGCAAGTGCTGTTAAGAGCAGCCACCTGACCTTGCTCTCTTGAATTCTTAGACTCCTCTTGCTTCTCTTTTGCAATCATTCCAAGTTCCTCTTTTGTAACCATGTGTATCATGAGCTTTCATATTTCTATCCTGAAATATTGATATGACTTTGACTGACATTTGCCTCAACCTAGGACAGGCAACCAATGTCTTATTCCCATGTGTTTCTAAGGCTCTGTTTTCTATAACCCTGATTGCTTGAGTCTAAGTAACAGAAGATGATTAAGTTAATCTGAAATGGACTTGGCAAAATAGTAGCTCAAAGAAACAATTGGAAGACTCCTAAAATTAGCAGAAACTAAGGAAGGCTTGGCAGTAGAAACAAATGCATTAAAGAAACAACCTGGTTAGAGTGCCACTATTATCACTTTTCTACCACTCTTTCTAGGCATGCTAGGCATGCTAACCACCAGCATTCAAAACTGCAACACCACCTTCATCACTACATGCCACCACTATTCATGAATTCTAACTCTTAATGTCACTACTACTATTAATGGATTTTAACTCTTACTTTGTCTTAATGTCACTTGCTCAAGCTTCAAAGTTCTCACTGTGGTATCTAATTGTCCTGTTATTGGCCACATGCCTGCACCTTAACTCTCAGGGCTGGGTGGAGAGATGGAGTGTCTGGTCCCGTCTTTCATTTGTACAGGAAGTTATGGCTCCCTTTAAACAAAGACTCTCACAGTGGAGATCCCTCTGAAATAAGAATGAGTTTATATACTGGGAAACCAAATATGACAAACATTCACTTCAAGCACAAATGCTGTTATTAAGAAAAGAGAAATTAGTGGCGTGACTTCCATGTTGACTACATTTTAGTAGTTAACCACCAAGTAACTGTTGGAGAGACGATTGGTTATTACCTGACAAGTGTGCTCATCTAATACTGGTAATTAGGTACTACCAGATCTTGAATATTCTCTGTGTTCTTTCTTTTTAAATATAATTTATTTATTTTTATATATTTAAGGGGTACAAGTGCAGGTTTCCTACATGCCTATATCGTGTAGTAGTGAAGTCTGGGGTTTAGTGTACCCATCGCCTGAGTAGTGATCATTGTACCCAAAAGGTAACTTTTCAGCCCTCACTTCCCTCCCACCATCCCACCCTTCCACCTTTTGTAGTCTCCAATATCTATTATTTCATTCTGTATGTCCGTGTTTACCCGTTTTTTAGCTCCAACTTGTCAGTGAGAACATGCAGTATTGGACTTTCCATTTTTGCGTTATGTCACTAAGTCTACTGACTTTCAATTCTCTTTGCATTGCTGTAAAAGACATGATATTCTTTTTATGGCAGAGTATATTCCATGGGATGTATATATACCACTCTTTATCCAGTTATCCACTGACGGACACTTGATTCCAGGTCTTGCTATTGTGAATTGTGCTGTGATAAATGTACGAGTGCAAGTATCTTTTTCTATACGGTTTATTTCCCTTTGCTTATATACCCAGTTGTGGGATTGCTGGATTGAATGGTAGTTTTATTTCCAGTTCTTTGAAAAATCTCCATTTCTGCTCTATTTCTTTCATAATCTAACTATATTAATTGGTCAAGATTTTAAACTTTCCCGGTCATGATAGAGAGGGCTGGCGCCGGCCGGGCGTGGTGGCTCACGCCTGTAATCTCAGCACTTTGGGAGGCGGAGGCGGGCGGATCACGAGGTCAGGAGATCGAGACCATCCTGGCTAACATGGTGAAACCCCGCCTCTACTAAAAATACAAAAAATTAGCCAGGCGTGGTGGCGGGCGCCTGTAGTCCCAGCTATTCAGGAGGCTGAGGCAGGACAATGGCATGAACCCGGGAGGTGGAGCTTGCAGTGAGCCGAGGTCGGGCCACTGCACTCCAGCCTGGGCGACAGAGGGAGACTACGTCTCAAAAAAAAAAAAAAAAAAAAAAAAAAAAAAAAAAAAAAAGGGAGGGCAGTTGCCTTACACGGCTTGCTTTCCCGAATTTCTGTTTTGAGCAATGTTCCTATGCTGCCTGTTTGGGGTTGGTTGGTAGGGCCTGTGGGAGGGCTGTGCTCTTGACTTTGTACACCGATCCCACTGGTGTGAGTAGAAGATAATTTTGTAGGGGCTGCTGATACTCACAGACTCATTTTTAGAACCTATCAATTGAAGGTCTCTACCTGGAACAGATGATTTTAACTCAACCTTCCCATCCTTCTTCTGAGATGCAGGACTACAGCAGGAACATACTTGTGATGAGAGAGGGGGGTGATTTATTTCGCTGCAAGCCTCATCGAGATTGGAGGGTAACGGAGAAGCTTTGAAAGCAAATTCCCACAGTGAGAAAGAGTAGGTGCCATAAAAATTCAATTTTACCAAGGGCTAAATGAGGGTTGTTTTTTTCCCCCTTATTTTGAATTTTGTTTTTTCTGAAATAGAAATCCTTTTCTTTTTTCTTTTACTTGACTTCCATTCTCGGCTCTTGTCTAGGGACCCTATTTAGGATTAAAATAAATGGACCATTTCAGCATAAATGTAGCAGTGCAGGAAAGAGTGTGGAAAGTGCTTACTGCATAAAACACATCCCTTTCTGATTCATTACATCCCTTTTCTGCTGTATATAAGTGGACACCTTTCGCTGACTCACTACAGGGTAGCTGAGCACATGTATTTTGAAGGGAGGAGACATTTTCTTCCAAAATACATAGGACTAAACCATAGATCAAATAGACTTATCACAATCAATCAATTAACAAAAGGGACCTTTAGAAACTTGTCTCATCCAAGCTTGACATCTTATTTTCCAGGAACAGAGATATGTTTACAGAGGATAAACTGATTAGAACATAGTTTAGACAGGAAAAACTGATCATTGATAGTAATTAGCTTCTTAAAAAAGAGCAAACATTTTATTTTATTATCAGTATTTTTTTTTGAGAGAATTTCGCTTTTGTCACCCAGCCTGGAGTGCAATGCACAGTCTTGATTCACTGCAACCTCTACCTCGCGACCTCAAGTGATTCTCCTGTCTCAGCCTCCCAAGTAGCTGGGACTACAGGCACCTGCCACCACACCCGGCTAAGTTTTGTATTTTTAGTAGAGATGAGGTTTCACCATGTTGGGCAGGCTGGTCTCGAACTCATGACCTCAGATGATTTGCCTGCCTCAGCTCCCAAAGTGCCGAGATTACAGGCATGAGCCACTGCACCGGGTCAAAAGTAAAATTTTTTAAAAAGCAAACTGGAAACTGAAATATGAGATGTCACTAAAGCAAGCAAGGGAAATATTAGAACACCTTTTTGGATCAGTTATCTTTTATCTGTATTTTCAAGCCTGTAGTTTTCAAAAATATTTGAGTACAATCAAAAGGAAAGATCTTAGTGGAAGCATCTATGTACTATTAAGATCAAGTTACTTGAGGATTTGAAGGGCACTGTAATAATGCTATCCTTAGATTTTTTTTTAAGATGGGAGAATGTACAAATGTCAAAGCAGGAGGCCAAAATTACACTAACAGAAATGTGTATGGTGCTCTGTCATTTTCAAATAGACATAATCACATTTTGTATTCAGTAATGGTTCCTGGTAATCAGGAGTATTACAGCAAACCAAATTTGAATTTATCTAGGGCAGGAAGATGTAAGGAATCTGGAATGGACATTTTAAAACTCTCAACTAGTCAATGGGTTATATTTAGAAATACACTCAAAGTTCATAGTCCTACCTATGTGTCATGAGGAAGAGAAAGCTTATAAATATTCATGAACAATGGAAGGTTTTCTGTATTTCAATGGTACACAGAAGCAATCTAAGCCTTGAGAGCCTGGCATTGATATCTATTCTGAAAAGCAAGACAAAGCTAGCACAAATTTCCTTTTGAATGAGAGTTTTCTCTGCTTCTCATCCCAAAGTTGGGGCAAATGATCTCAATTTATATGATCCTGACATTTTTAATGGCTCTTATTGCTATAGAAATTGGCTACAGTAGACTCTGTACCTGTCTTCAAATGACAGACTTCCACATGGACAACAGAACTCATTCATATGTACAAATACCCACAGCATCATCTTTAGTGGTTTGTAAACTTCACTTTCTTGCTCTGAATAATCCGAAATTGTAATTTTTTGATTAATGTTATGCTTCTTTCTCGATCATCTCCAAATATCATCAGCATCCGAGGAATGAACAGCTACAGGGAATTCAAAATATATTAAAATCAATATTTTTAACATTGACATTATTTGTTAATTCAATTTCCACAGAATCTGCACACTGCAATCATACTGCATTGCGCATCATTATCACTTCTGTGATTAAGCATTTCTTAATGATAGCAAAACTAATACTTAAGGTAAAAAGAATCTGGAGCATCAACTAGCTGATCCTTCTGAACCCAGGAATTCCAGACTTTGTACCATCCTAAAATGATAGATTACCCTTTCTTTTCTTCTTTCTTTCCTTCCTTCCTTCCTCTGTCTTTCTTTTTCCTTTTCCTTCTTTCTTTCTTTCTCTCTCTCTTTTTCTTTCTCTTTCTCTCTCTCTTTCTTTTTTTTTTTTTGACAGAGTCTTGCTCTGTCACCCAGGCTGGAGTGCAATGGCATGAACTCAGCTCGCTGCAACCTCCGCCTCTCAGGTTCAAGCAATCCTCCTGCCTCAGGCTCCCAAGTAGCTGGAATTACAGGCCTGCACCAACACACCCAGCTAATTTTTGTATTTTTAGTAGAGACAGGGTTTCGCCATGTTGGCCAGGCTGGTCTTGAACTCCTGACCTCAAATGGTCTGCCCGCCTCAGCCTCCCAAAGTGCTGGGATTATAGGCATGAGCCACCGTGCCCAAAGATAGGATACTTTTTCTTGATATGAGTACTGTATATTGGATGAACCATACACACCCCTGCAGTTTGTCATCCTTATTACCATTTCATATCATGCTTTTCTGTTATCGTACTTCTTACAATTGCTATTAATGACATATACAAATATTTTTTAAACATTTTGTTTGTTTGAACACCTCTGAATATTGTTATGTTCCATGAAGTAGAAAACCATGTTGATCTTCCATACAGCTTTACCTTGTTCCCATATGCTGCCGGCTGAATTATCCTAACCTTGATATATTGAAGTCCTAAGATAAATCGAAGTCCTAATGAGAGGTGACAGCATGCTGGCAGTCCTCAGAGCCCTCGCTTGCTCTGGGAACCTCCGCTGCCTGGGCTCCCACTTTGGTGGCATTTGAGGAACCCTTCAGCCCCCCACTGCACTGTGGGAGCCCCTTTCTGGGCTGGCCAAGTCTGGAGCCCACTCCCTCAGCTTGCAGGGAGGTGTGGAGGGAGAGGCGCGAGCGGTAACCGGGGCTGCGTGCGGCGCTTGCGGGCCAGCTGGAGTTCGGGGTGGGCATGGGTTTGGTGGGCCCCGCACTCGGAGCAGCAGCCAGCCCTGCTGGCCCCGGGCAATGAGGGACTTAGCACTCGGGCCAGTGGCTGCGGAAGGTGTACTGGGTCCCCCAGCAGTGCCGGCCCACCGGCGCTGGGCTCGATTTCTCACCGAGCCTTAGCTGCCTTCCCGCGGGGCAGGGCTTGGGACCTGCAGCCCGCCATGCCTGAGCCTCCCCCTCCTCCGTGGGCTCCTGTGCAGCCCAAGCCTTCCCGACGAGCGCCGCCCCCTGCTCCACGGCGCCCAGTCCCATCGACCACCCAAGGGCTGAGGAATGCGAGCGCACGGCGCGGGACTGGCAGGCAGCTCCACCTGCAGCCCCGGTGCGGGATCCACTAGGTGAAGCCAGCTGGGCTCCTGACTCTGGTGGGGACGTGGAGAGTCTTTATATCTAGCTCAGGGATTGTAAACACACCAATCAGCACCCTGTGTCTAGCTCAGGGTTTGTGAGTGCACCAATCGACACTCTGTATCTAGCTGCTCTGGTGGGGCCTTGGAGAACCTGTGTGTCCAAACTCCGTATCTAACTAATCTGATGGGGATGTGGAGAACCTTTGTATCTAGCTCAGGGATTGTAAAGGCACCAATCAGCCCCTGACAAAACAGGCCACTCGGCTCTACCAATCAGCAGGATGTGGGTGGGGCCAGATAAGAGAATAAAAGCAGGCTGCCCCAGCCAGCGTTGGCAACCTGCTTGGGTCCCCTTCTCCACTGTGGAAGCTTTGTTCTTTTGCTCTTTGCAATAAATCTTGCTACTGCTCACTCTTTGGGTCCACGCTGCTTTTATGAGCTGTAACACTCACCATGAAGATCTGCAGCTTCGCTCCTGAGCCAGCGAGACCACGAACCTACCAGAAGGAAGAAACTCCGAACACATCTGAATATCAGAAGGGACAGACTCCAGACGCGCCACCTTAAGAGCTGTAACACTCACCGCGAGGGTCTGCGGCTTCATTCTTGAAGTCAGTGAGACCAAGAACCCACCAATTCCGGACACACTAACCTTGGTATCTGAAATGTTATCTTGTTTGGAAATAGGGTTTCTGCAAATGTAATCAAATTAAGATGAGGTCATGCTTGAGTACGGTCGCCCTTAATCCAACATGACTGGTATCTGTAAGAAGAGAGAAATGCCAAATGAATGTGGAGACACACACAGGAATACCAGGTGACAACAGAAGCAGATATTGAAGAGATGCAGCTGCAAGCCAAGAAACACTAAGGATTGGAGGCCACCTGCAGAAACTAGAAAAAGGTAAGGGAAGATTCTACCCAGAGTCTGAGACTTGCATGGTCCCGTTGATACCTTGACGCTGGGTTTATAGATTCCAGTGCTCAGACAGAATACATTTCTGTTGTTTTAAGCCACCTAGTGGTAGTTAGTTACAGCAGCCCTAGAAAATTACTGCACCCTGCAAGTTACAGTTTATAATAGGTGCTCAATTAATTCTTGTTAAAGAATGCAAGAGTGAGTGAATGAGTGATGGATGAATGAATATAATTATCCAATGTCCCATAGGGGAGTTTATAAACACATACAACTGAATGAGCTCATGTACGAGATGGTGTTGAATTGTTTAAATTCCAGGATAATATCCCTTGCAGTGAATATCTGTTCCTGGGGTTCTTCCTCTACATTCAAGTAAAACAAGTGGATTTTAACTTTTGGCTAAGCAAAGTGTAATTATAAAATGAAATAATTAGCAGAATATCACATAATGTTCTCTATCAAATAAAAATAGAAATGAATATATACTATTTTCCATTTGAAAATATGAAAGCGGAGACACCTCATTGGTATCAGAGTGATGAATGCTTTGTCATTACTATTTTACATTCGTCTATGATGTGATTTATAAATGTTTTATTATATAAATCATTAAGGAATTCTTTAGAATCTTTATCTTCATTTTATAGGTAGTGTAACTAAGGCATTTTAATTTCTAAATTAGGAACGTTTTAATGTTGAAACTAGGTCACATTTGTCGTCTGACTTTAATCCCTGTACCAAATAGAGTTGCTTGACAAAGAAAGATACTTCAGAACCATTGTATCTTCTTCAACCACAGTTTTAATTATTGGATAAGCTTCATCAATTTTAGCACAAATAAGCTCTGGTGAAATGAGAAAAAAAGATAAACATAGAAATGGACTTGAACATATAAAGAATATAGACATGAGTTATATTTTATCTTGTTCTGTTTCATATTTTATGTATACATACATACGTACACGAAGATGAGGATGCTAAGATGGAAGAGATATGTATCTATTTGCTTTAGAAAACACGTTTCCAGAATGCATAGTTTGCAAAAATTTTCCCCCATTCTTTAGGTTGTCTGTTTACTTTGTCGGTAGTTTCCTTTGCTGTGCAGAAGCTCTTCAGTTTAATCAGATCGCCTTTGTCAATTTTTGCTTTTGTTGCAATTGCCTTGGGCAGTTTCGTCATGAAATCTTTGCCCATGCCTATGTTCTGAATAGTGTTGCCTAAGTTGTCTTCCAGGCCATTATCCTTAGCAAACTAACACAGGGACAGAAAACCAAATACTGGATGTTCTCACGTATAAGAGGGAGCTGAATGATGAGAACACATGGAAACATACAGAGGAACAACACACTGAGGCCTTTCGGAGGGTGGTGGGTGGGAGGAGGGAGAGGATCAGGAAGAATAACTAATGAGTACTGGGCTTAATACCTGGTGATAAAATAATCAGTACAACAAACCCCCATGACACAAGTTTACCTATGTAACAAACCTGCACTTGTATCCCTGAACTCATAATAAAAATTTTTTTAAAAGTTTCTGTAAAGCTTGGCCTAGGTTGAAATTTATAGCGTCTAAAATACACTGTGTCAGGGATGCTGAGCTTAGTGAGCTCCATTTGGTAATAATAACCTGCATTGATGTTCATATCTTCTTATCTCTGTTCTCTTTGAACAACAGCTGACTTATTGGTGGTAGTTAAAACCCTCCATTTTTGGAGGTATTTTGTGTCTATCTTTTCTATTATTGCAATAAGCCTAAGAAGCCTGTTTCTTACAAATAAACTCTAGAAATTTCCCAATAGGGCAATACAAACTTTATGACCTGTTCCTTTGTATGATCACCATTGAAAATAAGTTCCCCTAAAAGGTAGTGTTACTTTGGCAATAGGTACAATGGATAACAGTTTTTGGCCCTGAGATTTCCTCAGGAACAGAGCTGTTCTCGATGTTTGGTTTGAGGTTATTTTATGGGCTTTAAGGAAAGGCTATTCTTATTAATGTGCAAATAATTACAGGTCCAGTTTTACTTGGACATTTATTCTCTTTTTTTCTTTTTTGAGATGGAGTCTCACTCTGTTGCCAGGCTGGAGTGCAGTGGTGCAATCTCAGCTCACTGCAACCTCTGCCTCCCGAGTTCAAGTGATTCTCCTGCCTCAGCCTCCCAAGTAGCTGGGACTGCAGGCACATGCCATCACGCCTGGCTAATTTTTGTATTTTTAGTAGAGACGGGGTTTCACCGTGTTGGTCAGGCTGGTCTCAAACTCCTGACCTTGTGATCTGCTCTCCTCGGCCTCCCAAAGTGCTGGGATTACAGGCATGAACCACCGTGCCCTGCCTGGACATTTACTTTCTGTGAATTTTATGTGTGCCTACTAATTAATCACAGCTATTTGATTACTGATTTAAAAAATGAGTACCTGTTAAACTCATTGGCATGCTTTAAAATACTGTCTATGAAGGTGGGGAGAGCATCAGGAAAAATAGCTAATGCGTGCCGAGCTTAGTACCTAGGTAATAGCTTGCTAGGTGCAGCAAACCCCCATGGCACCCGTTTACCTATGTAACAAACCTACACATCCTGCATATGTGTCCCAGAACTTAAAATAAAAGAAAAAACTACTGTCTATGGTGGGGAGCAGATGGTAATATCTGCTCAGAATGGTCTCTCTAAGAGTGGTTCCCCAAGAAGAGAAACTAGGATGAGGTAAAGGTAACCTTTGCTGTGGCCATTGCTCAGAGCACCTGTTCTTCCCTTCCTCAGGCCTCCCTCTCCTCTTCTCCTCTGCAACATATTGTAGAACATTGTCAGTTCACAGTGATCTCTCTTTTTTCTCTGATATTTAAATTTAATGAAAAATCAGCAATCTGTGCACTATTAAAACAACATACTAGTCTTTTGGTCTCATATGTAGCGTGACTTCACTAGGCCCATGACTAATCTATACAATGGGACTATATTCGTGGTGGTCCTGCTGGCCTTTTAATTATTTCACGCAATGATTCAGTCATGTTGTGATGACCAAATACTATAGACTAAAGTGCTTTGAAAACAAAATGTAAAATATGTTAGAAATGTGAAGCAGCGGGTTAATTTCAAAAGAAGAAAAAACTAAACACTTTATTAGATCTAGCAATGTAGCTTTCTGTTTGTAACTGCATGCAGATCAATATAACTTCTTGTTTTATATATACATGTACATACGTGTATTTATATACACACACAGTATATCATTATCTTGCTCTGTTTGTTGCACCTGATCATATCTCACCATTCCAACCAGATTACAAACTCTCATAGGCAGCGAACCATATTTCTCTTATGTCCCTCTACACCTGTAGCACAGTTCTGGCCACGGGATTCAAGCTGCATAGGTCCGCATTTAGTGACTGACAGTGGTAACTACTTATGGCAGTATTCATTTCTATGCCATCGAGCATTTTCTAGAAAGCTACTATTGTTTTGTGGTAGCTTTGGGCAACTTGTTCTAGCCATTATTGGTGACACTGGCATGTGCAAAGTGACAGATCACTGGCACCATAGAACCCACAGAATCTGGGGACATTGTGGGTTCTAATTGGTTTAAAATTTACCAGTTGGTTTATCCTCATTTATGTTCAATGTGTGGCAAAGCTAATAATATTTCTTTTAAGTGTGCTTGGAGGCAATACAGACTTAGGGAAAACATTCCCTACAGTGTTCCATCTGCTGCCCTCTCTGTAGAAAGCACAAGCAACAATTTTATTATTGAAGGGTATGAATGGCTTACCACTTAGCTTGCCTGTGTAGAAACATGGAACATAGAGCGTCCCTCAGTTGCACAGGAGCTCACTCGCCCGTGGTGCTAAGCTCAGAGCATAGGGGGTTAAAAGCTTAGGTTTTCCCTCAGTCACCGTTGGGAAGTACACAACGTAAGTCAACCATCGTTTAATTTATTTTGCTTTGTTAGATGGTGGTGTTCATTAATTTTGCTTTGTCGCCTCGCTTTCCTCTTGATAACATCATTCTTTTTAATAGCAATGGAACCTTGCAAATGTCAAGCAGCCTGCCCCAATCACAACAGGCTGCAACATAAAAACACATTAGAGTTTGGAGGAACCACAAATAACTACTTTAGGAAAAAAATGTAATAGCCCTAATTACGTTGTGCCTGCCAGTGAGCTGCCCTCCTCCTTTCTCTCTCTCCCTCTCTCTCTTTTCCAGTGTCCTTAATGGATTTCTGTTGAACAAAAAAATCAGTGCCTTTTGTCAAACGCTTGGTGGCCTCTGCCTTTTAGAGAGGCAGCTCTTTCTATGCCAGTTGACTCACCTGCTACACTGATGCACTCTCTGATGCTCTATGTGCTCCGACTTCCTATGCTGGATCTGTTTCATTGACCTGCTTCTTGAAACATTTCCTATGGTCTCCATAACTTCCAAACTATTTTTTGTTGTTGTTGATAAGGTTAGAGTCCGCTTGTACCCCCAAGCCACACCCCAACAGGCTGAGATCAGCATCAGGACTATCATGAACTTTCCTCTCCACGTAAGGAAATCTAATGGGGTCTTGTGGACCTAGGAGGTTCTGAGTCTTCAGTTTGTCAAACTAGAGGGGAAAGAGAAAGATTTATTGCTTCATGCCCTCGTCTCCAGAGATTTCAACCTGTTCCCCAGCTTCATGCAACCAGTCTGGCTTTGTATCCCAGGAGTTTCTAAAAGTTGAGAATAAATTAAATTAGTAAAGAGAGCTGTGGTTCCTGGGCTGTTGATGGGTAGCATCAGTGTGATGGTTGCTGTAGACTTCTTGTTGAGTGTTGGTGAATTAAAACAGTAGCTGTGATCACAAAGAACTTCAAAAAAACTATGTTTACTTTAAGAAATCCTCTCTGGATTTCACAGACAGACGTACAGAATCATCAAGTGTTAAAATAGGGGACCATCTGAAACGACCTCAAGTCTGTGACAGTTACTTAAATGGGAGGAACCTGAGACAGAGAAAGGAGAATCTATCGGCATGACACAGCCATTGTGAAAAGATGCATACTGTGGAAAGGCTTGCTTTTGAGTCAGATGGAGTGAGGAGCTTTTCCTTGAGAGCTGAGTGACCTTTGGCAAAGTTCTTAAGGTCCTCTGATGTTCAGCTTCTTTATTTGTAAACTGAAACATTTACTTTGGGAGGCCCTTTTGAGGGTCACAAATAACAAGCCCTGAAGTAAACTGACACAGCTATCATAACTCTAGGCAGATGGTTGTTCATTCATTTATTACATATATGTGTGTATGCATATGTATGTGTGTATGTGAATCTATATATTATATGCATGTTAGGTGCTGGGAACCTCATGGAAGTGACCAGGACAAGCTTAGCCATGCCTTTATGAATCTTCTCGTATAGTTGGAATGCCTTGATAAGTTTCATGAAAAAACATAATGCATTTGTCTCTATCTCCCTCTAGCTGAGACTCACTCATAAGAAAGTTCAAGGTATGTTCAAGCAGTGAAATAGTGAGCTCACTGGATGGAGAAGAGGGTTTTATTCACAGGTGCTGGAGAGAGATACCATCATAGAGGTAGACCCATTTGTGAGGATCTTGGCTTTCATCTTAATCATTAGATAATGAGAAGCAGGAAGCCATTCAAAGATTTTGAGCAGTGGAATGACATGATCCACCCAGCACTTCAGGAAGAGTGTTCTGGGAATCAGATGAAGTAGATATTAATAGTATATGGGAAGATGTTAGAGACACCAAAATGCAGACAGTTTGTGTTATGAGCAAAGTGTATGGAGATGGTAGGGAGCCATGACTTGGGAAGTATAGTGTTATCAACCAGTAAGCAATTGTGAGGCCATCCAGTAGAAAAGACCAAATTATTTTTTTCTGAATCAGACTGAAGTGACGTCAAATCCTTGCTCTGCCTTTACTTACTCTTGAGGCTGGGAAAGTAACTTGCTTTGTTGGTCCTCTTTGCTATACTACAAGTGAGTACCTAAGGAAAGTGTCCTGAGATGAGCACAGTAGGTTGTATCAGGCACCCTGAACAGTGCGTGCCATGCGCTAAGCTGCAAACTAATGCTGGTTCTTATTATCCGTGAAGTCGTTACAATGTTCACTCACTTGCATTTTTTCATTTCATCATTAGGGCTATTTTTTTCCTTATTTTTGAGAACGGAAACTGAAATATAGAAGGATTACATAATTTACCTGAATTCCTGCAGCTAGTAAGCACTGATACCCAGATTCAAATCTAGTTTGTCAATTTTCCAAGCCCCCACACTGCCTTTTTGTTTCCATTAAGAAACAACCGAAGTATAGATAAAGGTTATCATTCAAAACACAAAGAGGAAAATAGTGAATCAAATAAAAAACAAGTAAATTTCAGGTTTTGTAGATACAAAGCTAGAGGGAGCATAAGTAGTCAATAACTGATGGGTGTTAGCTTTCCATAGAAAGGTGAATCATCCTGGCCTCTGAGCCTGAACAGGCTCTGAAAAGGACACCTTGCCATGTCAGCAGTGAACTGAAGAGTCTTCAGTGACTCCCTCCTGCTTTAGGACAAAGGCCTAATCAACTTAATTTGCCTTTTGAAGTCTTCACCTTGGCCCTCACCTACATTTCAGCTCTACTTTCTAATCACTTCATTGGAATATGATTTGGAGTGGACCATTTCTTACACCACTGAAATCTTAAACTGCTTCTTCATGCTGACCCATATTCATCTCTCTGCTTTTCTGATACGTGGAGGCTGTGGTGGGGGCAGGGGGGTCAAGAGAAGGGGTTCTGGAACTTGATTTCTGAGGTTCGTTCACATCCTGGCTCTGCACCGCCTGGCTGTGGAACTTAAGCACTCTGTACTTCAACTGCCTTATCTGTAGAAGGGAATATAAATAATGCAATCTCATGGGTCATTTTGAGATTTAAAAGCCACCATTCATGAAAAGCACTTAGGAGAATTCCAGATATGTTATGGGAAGTCAGTCAATGTTTTTTCCTCTTATTAACTTTGGCCTTCTTTCAAAGTCCAGAGCAAAAATCTCCTCTTTTGAAAGGCCATATTTTACCATTACAATCTACAGAATCACCTGCACCTCTAGATTTCCTCTGATTTTCACAGAAATTACTTGGCATTTTTAACATATCTTATGTTATCATCTAATCATTTACTCGTGTGTGTGTATTTGTATGTGGTTTCTTAATTAGATTGTAAGCTACTTGAGAGTGGAATGCTTTCAAATAATTTTCTCCGACTTTTAGTGTAATTGATACAGTCCTTTCCAAATAGTAAGCTCTCAATGAATATTTGCAAACTGGGACATTTAAAAATGTTTGGATACGTAGCCACAGCTGTAGTACAAATTATTTTATCAGGTGTAAGCAAAAATAATAAATAACTAAGCTGGAGATTCGGAGGGAGGCTACTCTTGGTAAATTAAGGGGCATTTTCAACTTGTCCCATGTTTGATTTACCTGAATCTAGTATTTGAATAGCAGCCTCAGATTCCAGGCAGAACATCCTAGGTGAAGTAGAGACAAACACTACATTTGTTTGACAATTGGAATATCTTAGATAAACTTCTGAGGTCAGCCACCATATCTTCCTCTACTCACCTTTTAAATATCCTAAAGAAATCTATTCTTAATAATCAATTGGAATTAAAGAAGAGCACAGACATTTCAAATTAAATATCTTAATTAAACACACATCTGAGAACCTTAATTTAATGTATCACCTAAAGCTCTATGCTCTCAAGACATCTTAATTTATACTGTGTATAATCGCACCTTATTCTTTCACTTCAGACAGTAAATGGAGCAAGTAGCTCCTTGTGTTCTTAAAGGAGTTTAAAATTTCTATTATACAACAATATCACACATGCAAAGAGTCTTCATTTATTTTCAAGTATAAACTGTTTATCCAAGGCAGGTCATTAAGACTTAAAAAAAAAATTGAGGCACTCAAGCAAAGCAATCATAAACAAACAAAAGAGTAGGTATTATGATTATAGATTCAAGGATAATTAATATGATTAAGTTTAACTGGAGTTAAAGTAAACTTAAAACTCCAGTGAAACTAAAAAACAATTCTATTTCTCTTTGAGAAACAAAGAATCTTTTACTGCTGGCCAGAAATATGGATAAAAAAATGTATCACAGGAAGACACAGTAAATTTTATATTTTCTGCTTTTTGTAAAGTTAGCTTTATATTTTCATGCTAACTTTAAAAAGCAAAGCAAAAACTTTTTTCACCTGTAATTAAAAATAAGTATGCAGGACATTTGCTTCCTATGGGCTTAAATTTCCTTCCTCTTTTTTCCTCTCTCTTTCTTTCCTTCACTCCCTCCTTCCTTCCTTCCTCTTTCTTTTCTTCCTTCCTTCCCCCCTTCCTAATGAACCATTAACTCTACAAATAATTCAGTAAATAATTTTGATATAATTTCCACTGCTTTGGCAATAGAAAAATTTATTTTTTATTGAAAGTAGTTAGATAAAATAAAGTGGAGAATCAAGTAAGTTAAAGATTACACTCACGTATAAGAAGTTAAATGATTTAGAAGAACATCCTGACAATCAGTCTTGCCACCTCCATTGGGCCAATAAGACATTCTTTGGTGTCTTGTATGAGAACACTGGGAAACAATTAACAAGCGATAAAGAAAAGTCCTCAGACATTGTCATAGACAAATGTACTAAAATAACAAAAAAGCAAAAAATGTAAAAATATTTATATGCATAAGTTCTCAAATAACGAAAGCCATTTCTGATACTATTACAGACATATTTTATGCTTAGCATAAAATGATAAAGCATGAATATGATTTGATAACTTGAAGGTAAAGGGTGCATGTGATAAAGAATTACAATGTTTAAATAAATACCTAGAAACTATTTTCACCTATTTTAAATCTTCTCCCTTTTTCTTCCGATGTCATGCCATGCAATTCATTTAGATAGACTGGTTTGCCTAATGTATATGCAGTTGGATGATGGGTTATTTTTCCTCAGTGTTACGATGAACCTTTAAAATGGATTATATTCTACCGTCAAGCTAAGAATGATGTTTAAACATGACTTTCTCAGCATTTATCTCAGAGTGATTGAATTTGAGTGTCTCCTAGGAATAAAATATTTGATCAGAAAACTTTTGGATTACACTTCAAATGCAACTGCATAAACATTTCTTCCAGCCAATGTGAGACGTGAAATTGCTAAGAACAGGCGCATGATAACCTTGAGAAGAATATGTATTGCCAGTAGCCAAAACGTCCTATAATATGAAAACTGGAAATGGACCTCTCATTGACTAGGCTGGAGTAATTTCTGATGCACAGCTTTGAAGGCCCTCATTTGGTTTTTTAGGTCCTGCAACATTTGCCACCCTAGTACCTCCTCCATTCTATTTCCCTCAGGAAGAGTGCAGCCCAATGCCATATAAAACACAAAGCTAATACTTCTTGAAAATGACTGATGAATTGCATCTCTTAATAGGCTGAAAATAATCAATGGGGCATGAAAGGTGCCATGCCGGAGCTGCCTGACAATGCCAATACTAAAACAATCCTACAGCACAGGCAGAATGAGGAATGCAGCCAAATTGACCAAGTTCTCTTTGGTAATCAGTTAAGTGATATTAGTACACATTTCTCAAATAAAAATCATTACCTATCATTGAACAGCTCCCATCGTGAATAGGTTGTTATTTGTCTAGCACAAAGCATCACACAAAATAACTACCCTTTGTCACGAATGATGAACGCTTCCTCCAGAAAAGAAGATACGGCTGTCTGGAAATTCTAAAACATTTTCCCTTTAAGAGGGTACGCCAGTCTAATTTGTGGAATGATGAGGTCGTTGGTCTTGGGCCTTTGCTCACTTTTTATTTCTCTTCTTTAATCTCATTCTCTTCATTTTCTTTATTACTAAGAGGGAGGCAAACTCACAAAAACCTGTTATCTATTATCCTTGTTCCAAATTTTGCTGGTTCTGAGTCCCCAGGGTTTGAAGTCAATATGTTTGGTAATGACTTTTTACAAAGAAAAAGGAAAAGGAACAGAGATTGGATTTCAAGTGTTATGATAAATGCGTATCTGAACTTTCGGCTGGGTTTGGCTTAAAGAACTCAGCATCAATTGCATAGAAAGGCATATAGTCTGAGAAACTGAAATTGGACAGAACACTAAATAAAATGCCATATTTCTTTCTCTCTCTCTCTCTTTCATATTCTCTCTCCCCAATGCATGCACGCGTACACACACACACACACACACGTTTGTCCCTAATTCAATGGTAAAAAACTCAGGGACCTGCTTACCCATGTTGTAAGCAAAATGCAGTCGATAAAAGAGTTTTCTATCAGTTTAAGAAGCCAGAGTTATATAACTCATGCTTTTTATTCCCTTTCATTGATTTACTAATTGGTTTCAACTTAGCTTTATTGCTTGCATTTTGTTGGTGTATCAGGATGAAAATATATGTACAAGAGTATTCTGTCTTTAAAAATTATGCTAAAATGTGTTGAAACCCTGTTGGCAAAAGGAACTTTAAATGCAGTGTGTTTTAGAAATACACAATCCTTTAAAAATATTAATTTGTTTTGTGTAAGCCCTATGTAATAAGGGGGATTAACTGATAGTATCCCTTAAAAAGAAAAAATAAAATATAAAAAGTATCAGTTTCACCTGTTCCTACTTGTGAATAAGACCGCTTTTGAGGAAAACTCAGAAAATATTATTGTATTTTGAAATTAAAGTATAGATCTCCTTGTTTTCCTCCCCCATATATTTCCAAGTATTTTATTCTTTCCTTTCTGGAGGATGTGGTGTGTGTGCGCGTGTGTGTGCGTATGCATGTGTGTGTGTGTGCATATATATATATATATATATATATATATATATATATATATATATGTAATTGTGTGTATAATTATGTGAATCTTTGTTTTTTTCCTCATTGGAAACCAAAGTTTTCCAATTGTTGGAGCCAGTTTGGGTTTTAGCATCTTTGGTGCCTGGTCAGAGTCAAAAAGTTCAGGACCACAGTGGAAAATTCCCATATTGGTTGGATTTCATATTTTCACCCCAAATGTAAAAAGCACAGTGGAACCCACAGATAAAGAGATCCATGGAGTAGCTGGCCTAGCTTTTCAGAGGCATAATCCTTAGCAGCTTTGTTGCCTGCTATCTCCAGTGCTTCAGGGGACTCTTGCAGCATCCCATAGCCCTTGAGTTCTCTGGGTTTGTAAACTGGAAAGAGGATGTGGGATAGCTGTTTTGCCATCTGAGTGCTAATAGTGATTTTGCTCCCAAAAGCCAGGTGTTCTGTGCTAGAGCTGAGATTCTCTCCCCCAAAGCTGACACCTGACAAAGTGCTTCTGATGCAGGTGCTCGGTGGTGCGAGCTCTGAAAACAGGGATCATCTGTTCAGCAGCTCGTCCCACAGACCTGTTTCTGCTTTAGTGGGAATATTTGGAGGCACAGCTCAATGTACACACTGACAAAGTAGTTCAGATCGGAGAAAAAATATCATCTCCAATTGCTAGATATACTTGAAAAGAGAAAGCAAAACACCACTTCAACCAGGCATTTGGCAGATGTCTCTTCTCTGGTCTGAAAGCAAACTAGAGCAGAGCTGCGACATGAAAGGCCCTTAAGCTCCTGCCGTAGATTTGTTATTAATTAAAAATTCAGCAAGGGAAATCTCAGGTTCTTTAAAGCAATGCTTTATCTATTTCCCCATATGAGGATGAACTCATAAATTCTATTTTATGATACTCATATCGATGGTTTGGGAGAATGAATTAATTGTTGGGGGAACAAAGTGGGTAAGTGAACACAGAAAAAAAGTCTTACCAAAAGAACAATTAAATGAGATAGGTCATATGATCAGGGTTGAATATACTCCTGGTGATTCTCCAGGTTCCTTTCTTTCAGTAGGAGGGAACTCAGGGAAAGCACTACTTTCCCAAGGATTATTATTTAAGTCTACAAGTGTATTGAAGAGTTGAAGGTCTGGAAATCAAAATTTGAATGATTATTAGGGAATTAAGATTTCCTTCAGCTAGCCCTTGTCATAATTCAAATTGCCTCATTGTTCTAGTAACTGAAATTCCAGTACTTCTCATTTCCCACTTTGCTTAATTCAATTCAGTGATTTGCAGCAAACTTTTCAATACAAGAATTTTTTGGTAGTATAATGAAGGGAATTGAAAAATCTGAAACAACAATAAAGTAAATCATAATATTTACAATGCAGTCACTACTAAAGTAAAATCATGTTTCCTGTGATCAATAGAGCATCAAGAGTCATGGCATTTTTTCCCTTTGCCCAAGTTCAGCACTTTTTGAGTTTCAGTAGAAACTTTTACTAACCTAATCATGACATTTTAAAGTTCAGGATGTCAAGTTGTAGCGTTCCAATGTGAACGTGCTTTCTTTGGTGCCAATTTAGTTTCAGAATCTTGGCCTGCCTAGCTCATATAACAAATGTATAAGTCCTTTCTTATATCATGCTTACAAAGTTGTATCGAAAACAAAGTTTTAGGCTGGGCACGGTGGCTCACACCTGTAATCCCAGAACTCTGGGAGGCAGAGGCAAGTGGATGACCTGAGGTCAGAAGTTCAAGACCAGCCTGGCCCACATGGTGAAACCAGTATCTACTAAAAAAAAAAAAAAAAAAAAAATACGAAAGACAAAATTTTACACACTGATGGGTTTATGAGGTAGATGTGGAATACTAACATGTCTCTGCTTACAGAGATGTCTAAAGTACTTAATTAATGTACAACATGATTCATGTGGATCGTAATTCTTTCTACACTGCCACCACTTGTGCATATCTGCTGTAGAGGAAAAAAAGCACGTCAAAGAAGGGAAAGGTAGGAAATTAGGACATGTCCTCTTTAAGAGAATGAGAAGAGGGAGACAGAGGAGATAAGAAATTAGAAGGAATTGAATCTAACAACAAGTAGGATGTAAAGACAGTGTTTGTGTCTTGTAGCCTTGGATAGTGGAGAAATGCTGGGATTACAGATAGAAGAGGCAGATTTGGCACAAGTTATGGACTTACGTTTTGAAGAACTGACAGCTGAGTTTGTATATCTGAAAAACAAGCGGTGAGAAGTAAAATCTCTTTCTCAATTGTTCTCTTAATAATTCTGAAGAAAGTGCCATTGCTAACCAACAGAAAATTTTATAGAATTTTGCCTAAAAGTTGTCAAAATAGTACATAACACAGTTGCACCTTCATTGGCCTGGAATTCTCCTAAGTGAATGCTGGAAGTCTTTATCCCACTTTTATGTTCTAGGCATACAGTTTTCTTTTCTTTACGCAAATAGTGTTAGGAGTTGTGTGTGTGTGCCATATGCGTGTGTGTGTGTGCTTTTAGACACTATCTATACATATGGAGCAATTACTTATATGTTTTTGTTCCATTTTCTACACTCATTGTAGCATGCTATAATCACTATTTTGTAGTTGGCTTTCTTCTTTCTACTTCTCTTTCTATGGGTTTATGTGCATGTTTTATATATATGTTTAAGATACTACTAATGTTTTGTAAGATAAGATATTAAAATATCTAATCTCTAATGGAGAAATTCTAGAAATTCCAGCATTTGGATGCAAAAGTATTTTTTGCATTTAATCCATATTTACCTCCTATTCACTTTCTAATCACCCTATCTTGAATGACTACCCATAGACTTAAGCAGATAACATAAGACAGTGGTTGAAAACATGGGCTGTAGACCTAGCTAGCCATGGTAGATCAGCCTCGGATATGTGCTGCTCAGTTCAACCCCCAAGAAAAGCTGTTGTGAGGAGTGAAGTTAGCTGACAGCCTCCAACTACAGTGCTTTTTAAACTGCAGCACATGCAAACTGAGGTCATGCTTTCCTTGGGCAGCTTAGCCAATGCCTAAGCATGACGGTATATTGGCAGCTGGCCATTCTTGCTCAGTATGAAACCCTCCATAAGCAATCTTTGAGTTGGACCTTCCTTTGGGCTGACTGAGACCTTCTCCAAGCTATATCAAATAGTCTGAGACTGCTTCTACCCAATCCTTTCTCGTACCTGCTTACCTTTTGTAGGTATCAGACCAGCACCTCTGTCTTTAGCCTCTTCACACCTACTCTTCCCCATTTCTTCTTTATCCTTCACAGGCATCACCTCCAGTAAATACCTTGCATTTCTTCTTTGTCTGGCATCTGCTTCCTAGAGGACCCAGTCTGACACACATGACTCTTACATGTCCTAGTTTTATGAGCGTAAGAATTTTGATTAATTTCTCTCTTATCATCACTTATTTTTATTATTATAGAACAAAAAAATAAATTCTTACCCATTTTGCTGGAGAACCTCTTCAATTTATCTAAAAAATAATAGGAGATAAAATTCTGAGTTCTTATGTGTTGGGAAAAGTTGTATTGTGATGTTGCATTTGATTGTTAGTTCTCCTGGCTACAGAATTTTAGGACAAATTCATTTCCTAGGAATTTGAAGACGTTGCCTTCTAGTAAACGTCACTATTGAAACATGACAATTTGAAATTCAATCCTTTATAGATAAGCTGTATTGACTCTTTTAGAACTTTGAAGAATTTTTCATATACTATTGGCTTAAAAATTTCACTGGAATATGTCCAGGGATGGGTCTATTTTTCAAAAAAATCCTGCTGAGCACTCAGTCACCATGTTTGCTCTTAAGACTGATTCATAGTTATCATCAGCTCTGATAAATTTTCCTTTATTATTTCTTTGATTATTTCCACCAGTTTATTGTCTTTCTACTCTCTTTCATTTCTATTATAAGAATCTTAAACTTCTTGGATACTAATCTATGTGTAAGTCTCTCATATTTTTACAAAATTATTTTCAATTATTGCATGTTTTACATATTTCCTTAAATTCTATTGACTTTAAAATGTATATTTCTAGTTTCTATGAATTCTGTCATTTCTTGCTTCTGAGTGTTTATTTTTAATAGAAGCTTTTTGGGTTTCATAGATGTAATAGTTTTCTCAATGGGTAGTAGTGACTTAGATGTAGTAATGGGTATACTTGGGTGATATATATATATGTGGGTATATATATATAATTGTTATTAATTGGACTCATGTTTTCCTATCACTTTTATTGAACCTCTTAGGTAATCTTTCAAAGTCAGAGCCTGATAGTGTCTACCTAAAATTAAATATTCAGCTCTTTTCCAAGACTTCCTAGTAGTATTCTTCTAACTTGGGTTTCACTTGCTGTGTAAGTTCATACTTTTCTCTCCCATGACTATAACTCCTGGGCATACAAATCTACTTATATTTTAATAACCTAAGATAATATTTCCACAAAAAACTTCACCCACTCAGTGTTCATTTTTCCATGAATGATTAATGATGATAATTTATATAGAATCTTCCACTGAAAAGCACATTAAATAACAACATTGCCAGTACAGCCTCCTCGTATCTCATTAGACTGGAAAGCAGTACTTAAAATAAATGCTGCTACTTTAACCAGTTGCAAGTCAACAAAGTTGCATCTGTGAAAATGTGGATAGTTAGAAAAAAGTATTTTAATGGATATATGCACTGGCCATATTCTCTTTATTTCATATAGGAAGTATAAAGTAGTCATTAAAATTTCTCATTCTAGAAAGAGCAGCCCGGATTCAGATCCCAATTCAACTGTCTGCTGTTGGGCAAACTAACTTTTCTGAGCCTGTTTCCTCACAGAGTTGGTATGAGAATTAATTATAATGCATATGAAGTGCTTAGTATAGTGTCTAATACATGGTAAGCATTCAAAAATATTAGCTACTCTGATTGATGAGTAGATTGGCAACCTCTCAGAGAAAAAAATACTATTTCCTCCCAAAAATGATTGTGTCTGTCTTTCTTGTGACTACATTGCATTTTATTGTTACATCTAGAGTACTTCTTACTATATCCAGTCTTTGTGTATAAAGAGTTATTTTTCTGATTTTCCAGCTATACCATTAGAATGAGGAAACCAAGGATTGTCGTCTTTATTGCCCAGTATGACTAGCAGGAAACTTGCATATTGTACTTCATGCAATGAACAAATGGTGGAGGTACAAAAGGATGGGGATGTGGTTTGATATCCATATACAACAGATCCTTCTATGCCAACATATCCTATGAGGAAAAGGAGAATAATGGTAAATAAAAGGAGAAGCACCTCAAGAATAAGAAGTAGCCTTGGAATCATGAGTGGCAGTCAAAAGAAAAGGTGCCCCATGTAGATTGAGTAAATGAGGTTAACCATTTCAAGACTATAAACACTCTAACTGATATATGGCAGGTATGTACCCTAAGATATTCATTTCTCTGAGCAGCAGCAGGATAATTTACATCAGAGAATAAAGATCTTGCCCTTGACAGTAATTACTCCCGGCAACGATTGCATCAGGTAGTGAGCCCCCTTCAGGAGACAACGTGCATCTTCCCTGGGTAACCCTGGGTAAATGGATCCATCCAACTGGTGCCTTCTCAGATGGATCAGGCACATGGTGGCCACTAATAGTTTTTTGTTTGTTTGTTTGTTTGTTTTTTCCAGTCCTATAGCTAAAATTCTGAGCTTCCACAAGAAGTGCAAGAGATGATGAAGCAAGTCCAGGGAGGCATGAGTTAGACTTGCTAGAGCAAGACAGGAAGGCTTAGATTGGCAGTTATGTGGATGAAAATTCTACAAATCACTCTGAATTATTACAGATCTACTACTTCCTTGCTGTGGTCTAAGTCCAATTCTAAACTCTTGAGAATCAGCAAGTATTATCCTGGCCTTTAATGTGTTTCAAATCTAACCTTTTTCTGATTTCCATGTTACTACCATTCTGATGCTCATTAGCACTTTCATCAAAGAAATGAAATGGAAAGAGTATAATCTGAATCCAAAATTTTTCACATGTGTTAATGGGTTTGGCAGAGGGGAAAGAGAAAACTCTGGGCGAAATAGTTTTAAAATTTATGCACATGTTTAAAGGCATGTCACAATTAACTTTTTAATATTACTCTACTTTCAAGTTTAAGTTTTTGTTATTTTACACGTGCTCTGATGCTTCTCTTGTTTATTAATTTAGCCAACAGCTAGGGTTCCTTGTTCATTGAGATTTAGAAATACCCCTATCCCAATTCTGGTTTCCACTTCCTGCATCCAGTGTAGAATTGGCAGAGTGGGTTTTTGGAACTCTTGGTGTGTGGAGCCTGAGGATCTCTCTGCGGGAGGCTGGGGAGGGTGTGAAGCTGCAGGACTGAGACCCAAACTCAGCTTGGATGGTAAAGGAAGGAGCCTATTAGTGTATCGCAAAGCTCCTTACTTCCTTCTTGGCAGGAGTTGTTGCTTGGAGCCAGCAGGTGCTTAATGCTGTTAAATTTATGAGTAGTGAAAGCTGTTGGATTTCTTAACATCTGGGTAACATAAATTATCAGAATTTTTTTTAGGCTGACATAGTTGGAAAGTGATTTCGAAATCCATGAAAAGCCATTAGGTAACCTTTACTGGAATGTGTTTATTTTTGAACATTTACCTGTGTGACTGTAAGCTGTCCCTAGATGAGCTGACAGACCCTGGCTGAGCAGGAAGTGGCAGGGTCAGGAAAAGCTAGGCCACAAGTTTTCCCTTGAGAGCCTTAGGTAAGACACGGAGCACTTTTAATTTATATATTTATTGTTTTCGGGGAATTTTTTCTCTTGCTCAGAATTACCAATATGGTAAGTGCAGAACCAACATATCAATTTGTAAATGATTTCCATTGTTTATTTTTCCTTTTAAACTAGATGTGATACTGAGAGCTGCTCCCTTATCCGCCTTTCTTTCCCTTCTCTCTGTTCTTTCATCACAGTAGATAATTGAGTTATCACCTGTCAGGCAGAATTTAAAAAGTAAAATAAAGTAGGAAGAAAGGAATTGACCATTTCTTTATAGTAACAGCTATTTATATAACATTATGTTGCTGTTGTCTATGTTTGTCTGTTTTATACCGGGACTGATAACTGCAAATAGGCATTTCTTAAACTTTTAGCCACTGTTAATTTTAAGTGATGCTGTCCATAAAATGTTATCACGCTTGTATTTTCATGTTGTAAATGGACCATTTTGAGCTTGAAGTGTATTGAGAGATTATTTTTCTACCTAGATTTTACTTTCTAACAGAAATTGAAGTAGTATGTAATATTGGCTTAAAATATTACTGTTTTCCACACTCTTTTTATTGATTGCATAAGAATGCAATCAATGACTGGAATTAGTGGATTAAAAAGAAAAACAACACAACATGAAATGTGTTAGCATATTTCACATGATGTTGTCAAAAGAGCCATGGACTGTGAGAACTGTTGGGTACAACCTCAGCCTCACTCTTCCTATTCTGTGACCCTGGGCAGACTACATAGGCAGCCAGAGTCACAGTTTTGCTTTCTTACAGTAGAATTTGCAGTGACATTGTAGGTGACAGCCCAGCATCCACTGGGCCCTTGCCTTACTGATTTATAGGAATGCAGTTAGGGGACCTGACATAGGTGAAGGGGAGGGTCTGATTGTATGAACAGTTGTTCTAACCCTTTTTTCTGGTAATTATTTTGATATACTATATGCTATTATATATACACACACTACTATACAGTCTTAAGACATTAGGATATTTTATATATGTATATTTATATATGTGTGTATATACATACATATGCCTTAGTGCATTATATATCACAATCAATCAAACAAACTCTATAAAATAAATACACTTGGGCTGTTGCATGTAATATTTTTGTGGTTTCCAAGAAAAAAATGCAATCTGTCCAAAAACATGTTTAAGTAATATTTTACCTTACTTTGAAACTTCAGTTCTTCCAGATTTTCTCTTATTGACTACTTGGGAAAATTTACACTTAAAAAAAGATGTGTGTTTTTAGTTCAACACTTGCTCATACTTGTATGGCTGGTTGTGTCAGAAATTGTATTTATTTATGGGCATATTTCAGGATGTTTTCATAGGAAGAAAACAAAACCGAAGGCCTTCAGATAGGATCTATAATAATGCTTCACAACTGAAGACAGTTTTCTTGGGGTTTTTGCTCCTTGAAAAAAAGAACAATAATGTGCCAGAGACCCCAAAGGGAAATATATTGTTAATGGAAAAAATTGCTTTCATTCACACTTTCTATTTAGGGGAGCCCTTGCTGCCAGGTTATAATGAAAACATAAAGGTCTAATACAAAACTGATCAGGGAGAAGGAGGCAGAGGAGACGAACCCAGAAAATGCAGCCTCTAATCCAGATGTTAGCATTAGTGGGGTTGCTTTTGTGAGAGACAGCCAGCAGACTTTACCTTATTCATCCTCTCTGAGGCCCCTGCTTCATGATCAAATAAAAAACAATTAAAATCTTATTTTTTCAGGTTTCAACATTTTTTATACAATTTAGATTGTGTTTACTTATAGGGAATTCTCAAGTATGAAACAACTTCCTTATGATGGTTGATTTAACTGATTTAAAGTTCTAGAAAAAGATGAAAATAAACAACACCCATAAACAGCTTTTGTTCAAGCCAGGGAAACAGGAAAATCACCTGAAGTTCTTTTTATTGTCTCATTAAAATAAACTTTTTCTCAACTTGATGAAATTAAGTTAAGGATACATTCTTAGAACTTAAAAAAAAAAAGACTTCTGTGTGGCTTAGAAAATAATGGTTTACTGGCCTATGTGGAATGGGAAAACAAGAGGGTTTTTTTTTTATACTTTAAGTTTTAGGGTATGTGTGCACACTGTGCAGGTTTGTTACGTATGTATACATGTGCCACGCTGGTGTGCTGCACTCATTAACTCGTCATTTAACATTAGGTATATCTCCTAATGCTATCCCTCCCCCCGCCCCCCCACCCCAAAACAGACCCCGGTGTGTGATGTTCCCCTTCCTGTGTCCATGTGTTCTCAATGTTCAATCCCACCTATGAGTGAGAACATGCGGTGTTTGGTTTTTTGTCCTTGCGATAGTTTGCTGAGAATGATGGTTTGAAAGAGGGTTTTTTAAAAGGAGGAAACAAATTACTCTCATAGAGAAATAGAGACAGGCTTAATCATTAAAACAATGCTTAGTGTCAAATATTAGAACACACGTTTCAGAAGAAGTGAATACTCTTTGGAACCATCTGTTTTGGCTTTCTTCATAACCTTTGGGAATGCATTTTGGAGAAAGCCATCACAAAACTTCACAGAATTGTACCTCCTTCCTATGGTAGCTGCTTTGCACATTCCAGAAATTTATGTCTTTCTGGGAAGTGACATAGCACACTCTGCTTGCCTGCTCTTTCGCACGAGGGAAGGAAGGAGGTGGTACTATTGGAGCTCTTGTTCATCCTCTGCTTTTGCTCGCTGGTGTGCTTCTCTCAAGTCCAGCACCATTTACCATGGGCATCTGACCATGTAGTCTGTGAGATAGCTTCATTAAGCCTAAGTACTTGATTGGAATCTCAATATTAGGTATAGTAGCCCTAAATTTGTAATTTTCACAAATGGATTAATGTGAACTTACTAAACCTAAAGCTTATTTGGATTATAAATGAGAATGCATCTGCATCATTTTTTGGTTATAGAAGTTTTTTCTTAGTTTAGATTCCCCTTGAAATAGACCCTCAACCAAAGATCAGAATGCAGATAGTTGAGTTGAGAACTTCAGGAGTCAGCGGAGTGGTGCAGGAAAAGGAATACACCCAATAAAGGATGCTGTGGGAGAATGGGGTTAACATGGAGGGTTTACTTGGAGGGCTTATTTTTAAGGGTTTATTTGGACTTTTATTAGTATATGATTCACTATAAATATCACAAAAATGTAATACTTTTGCATATTCCTTATTGTCTGATATTAGCTTCTTACAGCAAATATTTATACTGTTGGCTCAATTTAGACCACAAGAAAATTGGAAACTCTGGAAACGTGTGTAAGACATATGTCACAATTATCCCACCTGAAGGATGTAGAGATTTACAACAACTTTTGCCAGTTATCAGTTGACAGCTGCATTAGAGCTGTATTCAATAGGTACTAACTCACCTGCATGTCCATCCTATTGGACGTGGGTAGAATGGCACCAGGAGGGTCTGCCTGATTAACATAAGATTATCTAGAAATTATAAACACTAATAAAATTTTAAAAATTATATTGCAAAATCCAAATAAATGTGCAAAGCGTAGACAATTAACAAGAACTATGAATAAAAAAGCAGTTAACATCAATGGCAAAAATAATGAGCTAGCATTTGTTACACATAAAATACATAGATGAAGGGATGAGGATTATTTTTCCTTTATACTTTGCTGAATTTTTTTAATTTTAAATACAACACTGTATATTACTTTAGTATGAAAGTCACTATAAATATCATGAAAATCTCATATATTCTGTATATTGTTTGTTGTATTATATTAGTTTCTTATAGCAAATATTTATAATATTGGCTCAATTTAGACCATGAGTAAATTTATGTCTCATGAATATGAGAAAATAAAAAGAACTTTAGGTGATTTTCCTGTTTCTCAGGTGTGAACAAAAGCTGTTTTTAGGTGTTGTATATTTCCATCTTTTTCTAGAACTTTAATTAAATTGGCAGAGTTATCTAATGTTCTTGCTTTACACACAAAAAATAGACAAAATAGCAAAACACACAGGTATAAGTTCACCAGTTCACCAAAGAATTAATTTAACAGAGGCCTCCTAGGGGGTTACATATTTCTCTAGGTGAGGTGAAAATTTTTTTCTGTATTTGAAGTATTTCTTCATTTTACATGTTTCATTTGTAAAATTCTATAACAATCATATCTACCATAAATTTGTCTTTAATTCGTATTTTGGATCTCTCATGCACTGAAAATAAAGAAACTATCTATCCTACAATCGGAAATATACACAATACAACTGTAGGGAAGAAGGATTTTTATCTGCCATCATCATGTCTCAATGGCCTGTGATACACTTAGTCTCTAAAGAGAGGTAATCAGAGAAATACCTAAAATGCTTAGATGGAAGTATGACAATATAGAATCTGTAATATCATTCAGTAATTTAATATTTTGGTATTTGTAGTAGTCATAGCTCACAAGAAATGTGAACAATGCATTAATATGTAACTTATATTTAGAAAATACTTTTTCATTTTCAATCTAGGAAATTAATAGACAAGTATGAAAACTTATGAAAATGATATTTTCTCACTTAACTTTCTTAAAATGCAATGCAAATCTTACATAGTTCAAAAATAAATATAAATTTGTTCTGCTACCACAATCTACAAAGTTTTACTAGTATCAACAAATGAGCAAATCAATAATAAGCTCTAAAGCTAACTGAAAGTGTTTCACAATTTTAACTTGTTTATTCTCTAAATCACTGTCACTAAAGGAAAGATAAATGAAATGTGTTCATTTCATTTTACATTTACAAAATAAATGATTAAGAATTACCCATCGTTTTCCATATCAAATTATCCTGAATGTATTTTTTCTGGGACTGCTAAGGGCTTCTGTCAGTAATTTGGAAAGAAATGAAAATCATATTAATAGGATACTGGTTATTAACAGCCTAACACAAAAGTTTAAAAATTATATTGGCTCCTTGAAAATGTACTAGATAAGGTGATTCACTGTTAATATCCATTTGTAAAATAGCCAATTACAATTAGTCTTAAACGGGCAAATCTAAGAGTTATTGTTCTTTAAGAGGAGGTAGAGAAAGAGATAGGGGTAGAAAGTTTATTGAAAGGGAAAATAACATTGAACTTCCCAAAGAAGTTGGGAAGTACAAGAAGGTTATAGAACATCAAGCAGATTTAACTCAAAGAAGGCTACCTCTTTATTATTTTTAATAATCAAAGTCCCAAAGGTTACGAATAGAGAAAGGACCCTAAAAACAACAAGAGAAAAGAAACAAATAACATCAATGGAGGAATCACATTACCTGACTTCAAATTGTACTACAGAGCTATAACAGTCAAAACAGCATGGTACTGGCATAAAAACAGATACATAGACCAATGCAACAGAACAGAGAACCCAGAAACAAATCCACATACCTACAGTGAACTCATATTTGACAAAGCTGCTAAGAACATACACTGGGGAAAACACAGTCTCTTCAGTAAATGGTGCTGGGAAAACTGGAACGAAGTGAAACTAGAGCCCTATCTCTTGCCATATACAAACCTCAAATCAAACTGAATTAAAGAATTAAATATAAGAACTCAAAATATGATATTACTCCAAAAATACCATACAGGAAACTCTCCAGAACATGGATCTGGGCAGAAATTTCTAGAGCAGTACTCCATAAGCACAGGCAACCAAAGCAAAAATGGATAAATGGGAACTCATCAAGTTAAAAAGCTTCTGCACCGCAAAAGAAACAACAAACTGAAGAGACAACCTGCAGAATGGGAGAAAATATTTGCAAACTACCCCTTTGACAAGGGATTAATAACCAGAATACATAGGGAGCTCAAAAAACTCTATAGGAAAAAAACCTAATAATCCAATCAAAAAATGAGCAAAAGATTTGAATGCACAATTCTCAAAAGAAGACATTCAAATGGTAAACAGACATATGAAAAGGTGCTCAACATCGTTGATTGTTAGAGAAATGTAAATCAAAACTATAGTGAGATATCATCTTACCCCAGTTAAAATGGCTTATATCCAAAAGACAGGCAATAACAAATGCTGGTGAGGATGTGGAGAAAAGGGAACCCTTGTACACTGTTGGTGGGAATGTAAATTAGTACAAGCACTATGGAGAACAGTTTGAAAGTTCCTCAAAAAACTAAAAATAGAGCCACCATATGATCTAGCAATCCCACTGCTTGGTGTATACTCAAAAGAAAGAAAATAAATGTATTAAAGAGGTATTTGTACTCCCATGTTTGTTGCAGCACTATTCAAAATAGCCAAAATTTGGAAGTAACCTGTGTTGCTTTTGTATTTAGATAAATATCTTTTGTATTTAGATAAATACAAAATAAATTAGAGATGATATAAACAAATGGAAAAACATACCATGCTCACGGATAGGAAGAATCAATATTGTTAAAATGGCCATACTGCCCAAAGCAATTTAAAAATTCAATGCTATTCTTATCAAATTACCAATAACATTTTTCAGAGAATTAGAAAAAAAATTTCTAAAATTCATTTGGAACCAAAAAAGAGCCAGAACAGCCAAAGCAATCCTAAGAAGAAAGAACAAAGCTGGACACATCCTGCTACTTGACTTCAAACTATACTACAAAACTACAGTTACTAAAGCAGCATGGCAATGGTACAAAAGAGACACATAGACCAATGGAACAGGTTAGAGAACCCAGAAATGAAGCCACACACTTACAATCATCTTAGCTTTGCCAAAGCCAACAATAAAAATCAATGAGGAAAGAACAGTGTATTCAATAAATGGTGTTGGGATAACTGGCTAGCCCCATATGCAGAAGATTGAAACTGGATCCCTATATTTCACCATATTCAAAAATCAACTCAAGATAGACTAAAGACTTACATGGTAAAACTAAAATGATAAAAACCACAGAAGAAAACCTAGGAAATACCATTATGCGCATCTGTCCTGGCAAACATTTCATAATGAAGACTCCAAAACAATAGCAACAAAAGCACAAATTGACAAGTGGAACCTAATTAAATTAAGGAGCACCTGCACAGCAAAAGAAACATCAATAGAGTACACAGATAACCGACAGAATGGAAGAAGGTATTTGCAAACTATGCATCCAGCAAAGACCTAATAACCACAATCTATAAGAAAATTAAATCAACAAGCAAAAAACAACAACCCCACTAAAAAGTGGGCAAAGGACATAAACAGACACTTCTCAAAAGAAGACATACACTCAGCCAGCAAGCATATGAAAAACTGCTCAATATCACTGATCACTAGGGAACTGCAAATTAAAACCACAATGAGATACCATATCACACCAGTCAGAATGGCTATCATTAAAACGTCAAAAAATAACCAGCTAGTTGTGGAGGAAAGAAATTGCTTACACACTGCTGGTGGGAATGTAAATTAGTTCAGCCACTGTGGAAAACAGTCTGGGGATTTCTCAAAGAACTTAAAATAGAACTATCATTCCACCCAGCAATCCTATTACTGGGTACATATCCAGAGAAATATAAATCATTCTACAATAAAGACATGTGCACATGGATGTTCATCGCAGCACTGTTCACAACAGCAAAGACATGGAATCAACCTAGATGCCCCCCAGTGGTGGACTGGAGAAAGAAAATGTGATTCATATACATCATGGAATACTACGCATTCATAAAAAAGAACAAGGTCATGTCCTTTGCAACAACATGGATGGAGCTGGAGGCCATGGTACTAAAAGAATTAATGCAGGAACAGAAAGCCAAATACTGCATGTTCTCACTTACAAGCAGGAGCTAAACATTGAGAACACATAGATAAGAAGAAGGAAGCAATGGGCATTGGGGGCTATTGAGGGTGGAGGGTGGGAGGAGGGCGAGCATTGAAAAGCTACCTATTGGGCACTATGCTGATTACATGGGTCACAGAATTGGGGTCTGTACACCAAACCCCTGCCATATGCAACTTACACATAACAAACCTGCACATGTACTCTTTGAACCTAAAATAAAAGTTGGAAAATAAAAACAAAAAGGTTGCTTGCTGGCCAGAGATCATTTCCACAGTTCATCTATATAATTATGCTGTATCTTTTGCTCTTTGGTTTGTTTTTAACTCTACCAATTATAGGAGGACTCCACTCCCTACCCTTACCAAATTCCTTGGCCACATAATCCAATAATAAGAATATTATTCAAGTGAAATAACCATCAACATTAGAAGTTTTGGACTTATAAACCCTCCATCAAAACATTTTGAAAACTGTCAGCTTTTAAAATGTAATACATGAAGGCTGTTCTTGAATTCAAAAATAATTGTACAGTAAAATATATAATTATTTTGAGTTAAAGCATGACCATTCTTGTCACAAAATATGCTGTTGTCATTGATCTTTAGCCCTTCGTCTCCTAAATAATAACATTTTTCCCCTAAATCTTCTCATCTTTTTTTGGTAAGGAGCTGTTTGTCCAATAGGAATTTCCTCTCACAAGAACTGAATAGTTCAGGTGTCACTGCTGTTCTCTACTTTTTTATTGTCAAAGTCGAATCCTAGCAAATGCTAGCCGAAGTTCCATCTGCCAGATCATAAATCTCAATTTCAGTCAGGGTTGTATTAAACTGCCACGATCATCTTCAGCTTTGAGAACCAGCTGATTGTTACGCATCAACATGTTCTTTACATGACTCGAAGCCTTCTGGCTGGAACCATGGAGAGGAGGCTTCTTATGACTAGCACCCCTGTGGTGGCGGAACTGACCAAGAAAACGCTCACTTTCTGCTCTCAGCTCCAGTGTCTACGGAGCAATATGTAGATGATCGCTATAGCAATTTCTTGTTGCCTCTTTATTTTCTCCTGATCCTTTTCTGTTAGCATTCTGATCTCCTTCTTTGGGGGATTTCACACAGAGTGTAAACAGGAGGAGGGCATTTTCTAGCATCTACTTGTTTCTGCCCTCTCCCTCTATTTTATAGTTTTTTTCTGCCCAACCACGAAATGCTGGTGCTTCTCAGGTGCTGTCCCAGGCTGTACTAGAATGGGAATACCTGTCTGGGGGTGATGTCATGCAATTCCAGTAAAGGGCTGGTACAGACCGCAGTGGAACAAGCACAGGACGGCCCACTCCCCATTTCCTTCTCATCTCCAGCAGCTAGGCCCCTGGCTCGTCCCTGGAGCTTTAAAATTCTGTGCATCCCTTTGAAATCACCCTATCATTCTCCTCTTCTCTATACAGTCACCCACACAATTGAAAACTGTAAAAGATTCCTAGAGATCATCTGATTTAGCGTCCTTTAAACTGTGTTCTAGAAGTTGGTGCCGGGGCCAGTAGAGGAAGCAAAGGAAGACTGAGCTTCTGGATCCTGGCTTCTAAGTCTGCTTCTTCCATGGTGGCTTTGTTTCTAACTCTTTTATGTTCTAGCCTGTCTCACAAGATTTTAGTAGAAAAAAGTGTGTCTTGGCCAAAGAAACAGTTCACAAACCGCTAACTTGGTCCATATCATTGTCAGAAAGCAAATTTGATGAAGTGGTATTTTTTCCAAAATCCTGTAACTTAATTGTGGCAGAACTAGGACTAGAACCAAGTTTGGTTGGGTAATATTTTTACTATAGCATCCTGCCCCTGGTAAATAATGTATTTACACTTTAAACACCAGCAGAAATTTAAGCCAAAGGAAGAAACAAACAAACGCGATGAGAATTTCAGGCAGACTATGATGATGTATTGATGAGAGAGAAATTTTGAAACTACTGAGGTCTCTTCAGTCATACCCACTAAGTTAGTGAATGGTTCTGCTTTGATCATGATGTCAAGGTGGGAATAAAGAATGCTTATTTTTCTGTCTATTTGTAAAACAGGATAGAAATGGATATTAAAATGCAAAAATAGTGCATTTTTGATATTTATCTACAATAACTCACTTGACCAAATTCTAGATTTTGTTGGATCAAATAATTTGAACACAGACAGAGAAATTTTGAAAAGTGTGTGTGTTTGTGTGTGTGTTTTCATTGCAAATCTCAAATTCTAAGTTAATTTATCACATTGGAAATACGATGCCTGATTTTTCCTGGCATTTGGCAATATTTATCCATGCTTTATAACTATCACAAAACAATCTTGGATAGGCTTTTATTGGTCAGATATTGAATTAGCCAACAAGAAAACATTGTTCCATTGAATTTATAATATTTAAGAACACACATGGAAAGGGAGGGGAGAGGAGATTGGTATAATAGATTTCAAATTGAATTTCAAAATTTTCAAATAAATAACCTAAGATATCAGTGTGGAACTTAAACTAGTCTTCCGTGGTATGAATATACTACAGTTTGTCTAAACATTCACTCATTAAAGAACATCTGGGTACTTTCCTGGTTTGGGATGTTACAAATGAAGTTGCTATAAACATCCATGTACACATTTCTGCATAAAAATTGGGTTTTTATTTCTCTGTGATAAATGGCCAAGAGTACAATTGCTGATTTTATGGAAGTTCATTTTTTATATAAAAAAAACTTTCCAAACTATTTTTTGAGTGACTGCACCATTTTGCCAGTTATATATGAGTGAGCCAGCTTTTCTGTATAGTTGCCAGCAGTTAGTGTTATCATTGTTTTTTATATGAGTTATTCTAATAGATGTGTAGTGATAATTATATTAAAATTTGTCTTTTCATTCTCTTAACAAGTCATTTGCAGAGCAAAATCTTGTAAGTTTGATAAAGTCCAATTTGTCAATTGTTTCTTTTATGGATTATGCTTTCAGCATGAAGCATAAGAATTCTTTGACTAGTCTTAGGTACTAAAGTACCTCAGAAGATGTGGTATATACACACAATTGAATCATATTTAGTTTTAAAAAGAAGAAAATGTTGTCATTCATGATGACATGGATGGAATTAGAGAAAATTATGCCAAGTGGAATAAGCCAGGTGCAGAAAGACAAACATGTTTTTACTTACATGTGCAATCTAACACAATCAAACCTGTATAAAGAGAGTCAAATGGTGGTTAACAGAGGCTGCAGAGTGAGAGGAATGGGGAGATGATGATCAAAGAACACCAAGTCTTAAATGAGAGAAATAAGGTGTGTTTTTTGAGACCTACAGCATAGCCTGGCAAATATAGCTAATAAGAGTGTATTGTGTATTTCAAAATTGCTGCGAGAGTGAGTCTCAAATGTTCTCACCACAACAAAATTGTTAAGTATTTAAGGTGGTGGATATATTAATTACCTTAATTTAATTATTCAACATTGTATTTATAAATAGTAGCATTACTTTGTACTTGATAAGTATATACAATTATAAATTGTCAATTTACAATAAAATTTAAAATACAAAAAAAGAGAGCCAAGAACATTTCTCCCACCAGACATTTTCAAAATATTTTATTTTTTTTTTAGCAAAAGGGTCAGAAAAATCCTAGACCTCGATATTACAGAAATTAGATCTCTATGTAGTAAAAATTTGAGCTCTTAATATGCTGTGTCTAGATGTTATTCTTGTAATACTATTTATCAGTCTTGTTTTTATAACTTTCTCCCAATTATTCCGTACAACTACTCTCAATTTATTTGCTCTTATTTCCTTTATATCCACTCAAATATCACACTAATTTCTGCCTTTGGGCTTGCTCATAGTTTTATAGCAATCACAAATGTCACTTACATACGTTCTTCTTGGCCTTCCTTTCCACAAATCCCATATACTATTTGGCAGCTAAGGCTAAAAGTATTTCCACTATCTCAAGAGTTTTGTTTTTTTTTTAATGCAAGTTAGAAAACTTTCCTTTAAAATAATAACTATGGTATTTCTGGGAGCTGAAAACAATTGAGAAATTTTAGAAGACAAACCCAGGGCCACATGAAATTATAACTATAAAAGCAACACAAAATATGAACTGTTAAAGCAATATGAAAGGATTCAAATTTACTTGGTTTTAATTCAATTTGTGAGTGATCAGAGTCATAGGAACCATTATAGGCTATTATGCCAAATATTAAAAATAATCTTTCAAAACCCCTCTGCCATTGTCAACTCTCCCTTATAGTATCAGAGGGGTTTCTATATTAAATAATAGCAAATGATTTCAGATAAAATGTTTCTGCAATAGTTAATCATAAAAAATAATGTTTTACTACATGATGCATTGGTCATTTAGAAAAAGAAAACTCTTGACTAATACGTCATTATGAAACTTTTATCTGCTTACTATTGACTACAAATATTACTAATATCCCAAACCTTTTTGTTTTAATTTTAAGAAACTCAATTTCCAGTAACGGTGTCTTGTCACATTCATAGATCAACCACTGAAACCTTTACATCAACTTGTATTATATGTTATTGTATTATCTGTGCCAGATCATCTGTTGGTTGAATGAATCTTAATTGGTAAATAATTTTAACTTCATTTTATTATAAATGTGATTCTTAAAATATTCAAGGAGAAATACTACTATAAGCTGTCAATATTTATTTGATTATATGTTTATATCCAAGTTTTGTTTTCTCTGTTATGTATGAGAAGGCTACTTTATTTTGTTTTTCACCAGGTACTAATCAACAATAACTTGTGGATTTAAAAACCTTGATTAGATAAACTGAAGGCAGAATAAAGGACTATGGCAGCTTCTTGGAATACAGGGGGAAGTTGATGGTTTAAGTTGCTTGAGTCCTAAGCTAGGAGATGTATATTTTCTCTAACTGGGAGAATATTGGACATGGTGCCATTGCAAGTTCATTCATTCATTCAATTAATCAATTAATAGGTATAATGGAGTGCCACTGTGTGTCAGGTAATGTGAAGGGAGCTACACACATTTTGGTGAATAAAACAAACGGCCCTTACTATCAGAGAGTTTACAAATTAACATAAGAGAGTGGTAACAAACAAGGAAATGAACAAATAAATGTATAACTGTAAAGTTTAGAAAGTTCAAATGATGGAAACAAGCAGAGTAGAATGATAGAAACTGCCTGGTATTGGGAAATGGAGAAGGGGATTATATTTCATAAGCAATCTTTAGGATACTACATTTCAGCAGAGATCTGAAGGATGAGAAAGAGCTAGGCACATTGGCCAGGAAAAATCTGTGCTATCACAGAATCCTTCAGTTTACCTACAAGTATAGTTCTAGAGATAAGTAACTAGTAATATTTTTGCCTGTGAACTTGCATGAGTTTTGATACAAATGAATCACCATCATTTATTCACAGTGTGGGATGGTAGTTAAAATGGTAAAAACTATGCCATAAATTATGCTAGGAGACAATCCTACTTTCTATATCTCAGGACATGTATAATCCCATAAAATGCAAGATGGAACCCTGAAACACTTGGTAAGTGTAGAAATGAAAACCTCCCTACATTTCCTCCCATTTGAATAAGACTGAAAAGAAGCAGCTTAGAGTCTTCCCCTGAGCTGGAAAAGTGCACAAGCCACCCCATGACAGTATTTCCAAGAGCCCCTTCGCTGAGCCACTTTTCCCAAGGCTTTGTGCTAGAAAGATGAGAGAATTAATGGAGAGAACAGGAAACAATGCAGAGGAAATTATTCTGCCTGTTATTTGGTTTTAAATGGGATCTAATTAAACTAAAGAGTTTCTGCACAGCAGAAGAAACTATCATCGGAGTGAACAGGCAACCTACAGAATGGGAGAAAAATTTTGCAATCTATCCATCTGACAAAGAGCTAATATCCAGAATTTACAAATAACTTAAACAAATTTACAAGAAAAAACCAAACAACCCCATCAAAAAGTGGGCAAAGGATAGGAACAGACACTTCTCAAAAGAAGACATTTATGCAGCCAACCAACACATGAAAAAAAACCTCATCATCATTGGTCATTAGAGAAATGCAAATCAAAACCACAATGAGATACCATCTCACGCCAGTTAGAATGGCAATCATTAAAAAGTCAGGAAACAACAGATGCTGGAGAGGATGTGGAGAAATAGAAATGCTTTTACACTATTGGTGGGAGTGTAAATTAGTTCAACCATTGTGGAAGACAGTGTGGTGATTCCTCAAGGATCTAGAACTAGAAAAACCATTTGACCCAGCAATCCCATTACTGGGTATATACCCAAAGGATTATAAATCATTCTACAATAAAGATACATGCACACGTATGTTTATTGCAGCACTGTTCACAAGAGCAAAGACTTGGAACCAACCCAAATGCCCATCAATGATAGATTGGATAAAGAAAATGTGGCACATATACACCATGGAATACTATGCAGCCATAAAAAAGGATGAATTTATGTCCTTTGTGGGGACATGGATGAAGCTGGAAACCATCATTCTCAGCAAACTAACACAAGAACAGAAAACCAAACACAGCATGTTCTCACTCATAAGTGGGAGTCAAACAATGAGAACACATGGACACAGGGAGGGGAACATCACACACCAGGGCCTGTTGGGGGGTTGGGGGTTAGGGAAGGGATAGCATTAGGAGAAATACCCAATGTAGATGATGGGTTGATGGGTGCAGCAAGCCACCATGGCACATGTATACCTATATAACGAACCTGCACGTTCTGCACATGTACCCCAGAACTCAAAGTATAATGATAATTTCAAAAGCATGCAGTGTGTCAGAGTCAAAAATGACAACTTTTTAAAGTCGATCTTAATTCAGGAAAGAAAATGTGATTTTTTTTCTTTTTTTCTTTATTCCTGCAACTGCCCAGTAACTGTGCTCAATAAAAGCACAGCAAGTGCCCTACAAATGGCTTTGCTTTACGATCTTCAAAAGTAATTTTATATATCTAAACTTTACTTTTCCAACTTTAAAGTCTCTAAGTTTCTTTCAGATCCAAATAGTAGCTACTGTTTATTGTATACTTATTACATGCCAGTCATTAATGTACATACATTATTTCACTTAATAATAAAACCCTGTACTAAAGATAGTATTACTCTCATTCTGCAGATAAGAAAATAGTCTCAGAAATACTGCGCAACCTGCGAGAGCCACACAATTAGTAATTGACAAAACCTAATTCAAACTCAAGCCCACGTTCTTAACCACCTGCCGATGATTCTTAAGTTCTATGGGCTGCATTTGCACCATAGCCAAGTTCTACTTCGTTGAGAGTCTTAAGGGAGTCACTACTAACCCTGACATTTCTTTTTTTTCTTTTTTTCTTTTTTTTTTTTTGAGACAGAGTGTCGCTCTGTCACCCAGACTTGAGTGCAGTGGCACTATCTCAGCTCAGGGCAATCTCTGCCTCCCGAGTTCAAGTGATTCTCCTGCCTCAGCCTCCCGCGTAGCTGGGATTACAGGCATGCACCACCATGCCCAGCTAAATTTTGTATTTTTAGTAGAGATGGGGTTTCACCATGTTGGCCAGGCTGGTCTCGAACTCCTGACCTCAAGTGACCCACCCACCTCGGCCTCCCAAAGTGCTGGGATTAGAGGTGTGAACCACCCTGCCTGGACTAATCCAGATATTTCTAATGCAGAGAAACTTTACGTAATTTCAACTCTTCTCTTTGTTGTCTAAATAATGGGTATATTCTCCCCATCATTGGAATTATGCTTATTTTAGCAGGTTGTGAGGTGTTTGCAAATTAACAGTGTGGGTTTTAGATGGAGGATACATCAGGTTAAATTTCTTGCTGACAATGAGCATGAATTCACTGGGAGGATTTCTTCAGCCACTAATTTTCCAGAACTGTGGCAAGATGCTACTTTTCACTGCTACTTGGTGATCAGCAGGAAAGGAGTGCATGGGCTTTTCTTGAGTTTCTCCTCTTAATTCAAACAGTCAACACGTATTCAATGAGTTTTTTTTTTTGTCATTAATGGACTTCATTTTTAGAACAGTTTTATATTTCTATAAAACCTGAGCAGACAATACAATCTGTTTCCCTTTACATTTCTCCTGTTAGCATCTATTCATATGGTATATTTGTTACAATTGATGAACAAATATTGGCACATTATTATTAACTGTACTCCTTAGTTTACATTAGGAATTATTGTTTGCCTTATACAATTTTATATGTTTTGCCAATGCAGAATGTCATGTGTCCACCATTACGGTATCGTATCGAATACTTTCACTGCTCTAAAAATCCTTTGTGTTCTCAAGCGAGTCCATATTCATCTTCTAGCAATTCCTAAAATACCGTTTGCATTTCTACCTGTTTCTGGCTCTAGAAGCTTCTGGGTCCCATTAAGCTGTGATTCTTTGAAACAATGATTTCTGCAAATTTCAAGATAATAGTTTGCCCTTGACCTCAATTCTCTATCTGATTTAAGAAGAGTTGTTGATTTTCAGTTTGTTCAGCTTTTGTCTTGTTATGAAGACAGAAGTAATGATACCAAGCTCTTTACATGTCAGAGTGGAAACTGGAAATTTCAAAGAGTTTTTGAGAAAGTGTATAAGGAATTAGCACTTAATGCAATGTGTCTACGTGGGCACAAACTTTAGAGAATTTTGTTAAGTAGGAGTACCTTGCTGTGCATGCCAGATTGCCCCTTCCTGGGATATGGAATATTGAATAGAAATTCTAGGATTCTTGTTGGTAACATGTAAATTGAGGGAAAATAATTCAATATATGAATACTCTGTGGTTTATAGTAGCCTCTGTCTATAAAAAGAATATTGGGAAAGTAGAATATCACAAGAGGAATGTGGGTGACATGTTGATGTTCCTGAAAGGCATATTACTTTATAAAGTCGAACAAACAAACAAAAACTTTTTTTTAACATAGAGGAAATAAATCTTTCAGGTCTTTTGAGGGATTCTCATGTGTGAGATATAATAAGCCTATCACCTATTGCTAGAGGGCACAGCTTGGAAAATCTTAGGGAAGCTGAGGAAGCATTCAGCACCATCAGAGCTAGAGTCATTTCCACCCAAAGATCTGAGTTTCTGTCCCAATGATGGTCAAGATTTGAACAGGTAATGGATTTCACATTGGCTGTACAGTTATGCTAGCATTTTTGTTAACTCCTGATTCTGTAATCTTAAGGATGCACCAAGATTGGAGTCCTTTTTGCTCCTAGCCATCAAGGATTGATTAAGTAGGAGCTGCAACCCTTTGACCTTAAGTTTTAAGTGAAAACAAAGGACGCACAACTTACATCCAGCATCTAATTACTTACTTTCAAATGTGAGATCTTATTTGCTTCTTACATAAATTAATATTTTGTTATTATGGTCTCTCAATTTAAAGGGAGGCTTAGCAAGGGTGTGTTACTTGTTTCAAGTCTCATATCTAGCAAATAAAACCCCTGAGTAGTCTAATTTCCAAGCCCATTCATTTATAAATCATAGACTATTATTCTTTTTCCCTTCTGGTGGCTTTTTTTTTTTTTTTTGAGACAGGGCCTTTCTCTGTCACCCAGGCTGGAGTGTAATGATGTAGTCACAGCTCACTGCAGTGTCGACTTCCCAGGTTCAAACAATTCTCTCACCTCAGCCTCCCAAGTAGCTGGGATTACAGGTGTGCACCACAACTCTTGGCTAATTTTTTATTTTTTTTTAGAGACTGCATCTCACCATGTTGCTCAGGCTGTTCTCGAACTCCTGGGCTCAAGCAATCCTCCTACCTCAGCCTCTCAAAGTGTTGGGATTATAGATGTGAGCCACTGTACCCGGCCCTGGTTGCATTCTTCATTATTAGGAACATAAGGTAACTCTTGTCTCCTATGGTTCTGATCTAATCTTATAAAACTGACTTTTCCAAGATACAAAGAAATGTGACCAGCCATTTTTAGAGAAATAACAAAGTTACATTCAGAAGACTACTTGCCTTTCTGAACTCAACTTTGAAATCATTTTCTTTATTTTACTTTCGAATTGATATCCCTAGAGCTTAGTTTGGCACTTCTAGAAGGTCAGTTAAATTATTGTTCCTCTTTCAAATTATAACATTTTTAGCCTATTTTTTGTGATTTTTAAAAATTTTTTTTGCTTAAATTCACGAGTGCAGTCTCTACACCCTATGTCAGTGATTATGCCTGCTTTGTGGTGAGTACCTGTTGACATATTTGCATATTGAAGACAGTAGTCACAAGGAATAGTTAGGCTCTAAATTGAAGTTTTGTCCACCAGTTATCCTCATCAAACTTCAGAAGGAATTTGCATTCAGATTTCTAACACATGCCCTAGTGCTGGTTTAATTCATACTTCCCTTGCCAACACCAACTACATTTTAAAATACAGTGAGACATCAATGCACAGTGACTAAGGACACAAAATCTACAGCTAGATTGTCTGGGTTCAAATCCTGACTTTATGTTTTTAAACCTCCACATTTTGGTCATCTCATCTGCCAAATACACTTTGTACTTCGGAAAGTACAAAGAGGGATAATACCTCCCTCAAAAACAAAATAAATGAAGACACAACAGTGAAGTCCTTGCACTTGGTAATAATCCAATAAATACTACGATAATGTCTTTTTTATTATTATTCAAAATGAGACATGATTGCATATCCCAAACTGTGTTTTCAAAAGGTTTTTTTTTTCTTCTTCTTTTCATGGTGCTCTCATTTCCTTTCTTCTTCTTTTCTTTTTTTTCTTTTTTGGCAGAGTCTCACTCTGTCACCCAGGCTAGAGTGCATCGGTGCGATCTCGGCTTACTGCAAACTCCACCTCCTGGGCTCCCGGGTTCAAGTGATTCTCCTGCCTCAGCCTCCTGAGTAGCTGGGATTACAGGCGTGAGCCACCATGCCTGGCTAATTTTTGTATTTTTAGTAGAGGGGTTTCACCATGTTAGCCAGGCTGGTCTCAAACTCCTGACCTCAGGTGATCTACCTGCCTCGGCCTCCCAAAGTGCTGGGATTACAGGCATGAGCCACCGTGCCTGGATTCCTTCCTTCCTTCCTCCCTCCCTCCCTCCCTCCCTCCCTTCCTTCCTTCCTTCATTTTTTTCCTTCTCAATGATTGAGTTTTGAGTGAATCCACTGTTGAGGCAAGCTCACATGTAACTCTCCATAACTTCTGACCTAGCAGTCCAGCTGCTATTCTTTATTTTTGTGAAGTGTGGAAGCATTTCAGGGGAAATATAGAATGTTTTTTCATTTACCATGTGCTGAAGAATGAGGCTCACCTCAATAGAACAGATATGAGCTATTCCCAGTTGCTACGCCATGGCAACATGAATCTATTAAAAAGGCAGCTATATTGGGATCAGAGGAGTCCCAAGATAAAACATGATCTTTGCATCGGCATTTGTTTTCTAATTAGGATTGCTCAGTGGTAATGTTTATCCAATAATTTAGTTAAATTTCATTTCTAAAGTATAAATATCCTCTGAAGGCACATAGGTGAAGGTAAATCAATAACTGCATTATTGTAAATTACCTCATAATTATATATTGATAAACAGAATAAGGTCTTATAATATCAATTTTCCATATCACTTCATACCTCACCACAACTTACTGGCAAATTGCATTCTTACAGGTTTTTTTTTAAACAAAGCTTTGTTTTATGTAAAACACAGTTCATCATTTTAAAGCAACATGGTTTCAGCATAGTATTTCTTCTCTTGTTTAAATTTTTTGTGACTGGAAACTCAGGATACCTGACTCAGAAACTACTTTTTAAAAATTTCTCAGGGACTTTTATATAAAATAATTTTTTGTTTGTTTGTTTGTTTTGACAGAGTCTAGCCCTGTCGCCCAGGCTGGAGTGCCATGGTTTGAACTCTACTCACCGCAACCTCCACCTCCCAGGTTCAAATGATTCTCCTGCCTCAGCCTCCTGAATATCTGGGATTACAGGTGCCTGCCACTACACTCAGCTAATTTTTGTATTTTTAGTAGAGACAGGGTTTCACCATGGTGGCCAGGCTGGTCTTGAACTCCTGACCTTGTGATCTGCCCATCTCGTGCTGGTATTACAGGCGTGAGCCACTGCGCCCAGCCTAAAATAATTTTCAGTGAGTTATAAGAAAACAGCTGCATTCTGTTCTGTTTTTAGGCCTGGCCAGAGAATACCAGGAGACTGTAAGATGTCATGGTACATCAAGTCAGTCTCAAGTGTCCTATAACCCTGGCTTGCCATCAGCTTAGAATGTTCTCTTTTTCTACTGACCTGCCTTCCATCTGTGGTCTCTTCCTTCCGTCTGCTATTTATCATGTACTTATTGATGTGTGTCCCAGAATGTTCAGAATCATCTGATTTAAAAGATTCTGTCCCATTTTCAGTAAAAGTAGCCCAATATTTTGTTGAGAAAACACAGTGACTGTGCATATACCTACCTACTCATTAAGGTATCACTTGTTGGTCACCTAGAGTATAAATTCATGGCGTGGATATGACCTTGGTATGAGCCTGTTCTATACTGATTTTGTCCCTCATTGGGGAAAGACACTAGGAGGATGTGTGTATAGTGAATAGAGGTACAGATTGGGCACAGGCAGACTCTTTCTTGAATCTATTTCATCAATTAGTGGATTTTTTTTCTCCTAGCCAAGTTATTTAGCCTCTTCCTATATGAAATACTCCTTCTTTTCATCTGTTTTTGTTTTTAAATGAGATGACAATTCATGACTAGTCTTGGTCCCCTTAACACTTAGTGAGTGCTCAACAAATGGTAGGAATTATTATGGATAACAATAATTAGTGTAAGTTCAATATGTAAATAAAACTGCCTTTTGTTCACTATCACATCGCTTGTCTCATCGGGTCTCATCATGAAATATTGGTCATCATTACTATGAGATCCATCTATGGTTAATATTACTAGTGTGACCCTAAAATAGGATTCATCAACTAGGTATGATCATCCGTCTATTCTTTCCTTAAATACATTGAGCAAAATCTTCAGGGGCAGCTGTATTTTTTAACTGCACATGCTACAGGGATTCTGAAGTGAAACATGGTGAAGAACCACCCAATCAGACATTTGAATGGGGACTGACAGTCTTAAGTCTAAAGAAATTTCCTCTTCCTTCATAGTAATTAGCAAGAAACTTCTACAAAAGTTACAATGCCAATTACTGGAAACGCGCATATCAGGAGTTCCATGGAGGACCATTTCCAAGCAGTAGACATCATGCATCAATCTGCTTTTTGAAATCCAGACTGATTTTCCAAATCATTTTTAAATAAGAGGCCTCAAGCCGTATGTAAGAAACAAGAAAATTTGTGCCTTAAGAGCAACTATCAACTTAAATCAAAGAGGGGTAAGAGGTAAGCTCAGGGGATAGAGAAGATTAACCTAACAACAAATAGCCTTTGCTTACTTCTGAGATACCTAGCAAATGCTGCCTTTTTGAATTTTGTGCAATTAGTTTAGTACTTCAATTACCTAGATATTTTTAAGTTAAACAAGCTCTTGAGTGATTTTTTCATCAATTTACATTGAGTTATAACAAATGTAGGAATATTTGTATTTAAAATGCACAAGAAAATGCAAAACATATCTCTAATTTGACCACTAAAAGGCCAGTTTCTGATGATAACTTTTTGCCATATCTTATTAACTGTAATGTATCTTTAAGGATGACACATGGAATAGTTCCAATGTATAACAGAAAGGAAATCTGATATTATACTTAAGTGCATTCTGTACTCTGTGGGGAAAGATGCAGAATATATTACAAAGAACAATGAAGACATGTTTCAAAAGTAAGCATTAATTTATTCATTCATTCATTTATTCCCTCACACTCTTATTCAACAAACATTTATTGAAAATCCTCCCATGCGCAAGGTGGGTGTTCTATCTAAATTCTATGAAGAACAAGACAGACAAGGTCCGTCTTCTCACAGAGCTTACATTTTAGTGAGGTAAAGTTGTCAATAAGTATGCAAATTAAAAAAATGACAGGCTCAACTAATGCCTCCAAAAGCAACTATTTTTAAAGCAAAATCTGATTGTGTTCAAGTCTAGCAAAGAGTCACAAAAATATATTTTTAGAAATGAAGATTGTTGACATGGTAAGGTTATTCATTCTTTCTATTTTTATAAATAAATCAATTAACCCTATTTTATTTTAAAAAGTCATGCAAGGTCAAAAACGTTGGGATGATTGGTATTAAACTCTGGTGGAAGAAGCTCCCTGAATGCCTCCCTGACATCAGTCATACAGGTCAGGAAGCAAACACCTTTCCTCTTGTTTCCTAACTGCCCTTTTTACCCATTTCATAGCACACACTTACTCCGGTCACCAAACTGGTTACCATCCTCCTGTGTTCTGTTTTTGTAAGAGGGCATTTATTTGGCCCTAGTTACCCAAGAAAAGGCAATTAGTCTTGACAACTGCTGCAAAGAGAAAAGACGAGATGATGGAAACATTCAACACTTAAAAATCCTTAGATTTCAAGCATTGGGGTTTCTGCCCCTATAGATTTCTGGGAGTTTGGGACAATTAAAATATATCTTTTATTTTTTTAAAAAAATATATATAAATGAATGCTAAAACAACTCTTAAAAGGAAATTGCTTTATATAGTCTGGCTATGATCAGCAAAACTGGTATTCATATTTACATTTGTTTATTATATCAGTGAGGTTTGAGAATCATTTAAAAGAATTGTGTTCTAATTCAACCTAAATTCCCTTCCTGTTAATCTGAGCCAAATGTCCCAAACACAGACATGGCAGTTTTTAAATCTCTGAAAACTATTTAAAAACTAATATTAAAAATATAGTTTTAAAATATATTGCATATACCTGTATACTTAGGTATGAAGAAATTTCCTCTTCCTTCATGGTAATTAGCAAGAAACTTCTATAAAAGTTACAATGCCAATTATTAGAAACATGCATATCAGGTGTCCCACGTAGGACTATTTCCAAGCAGTAGAGATTATGCATCAATCTGCTTTTTGAAATCCAGACTGATTTTCCAAAACACTTTTAAATAAGAGGCCTCAAGCCATATATAAGAAACAAGAAAAGTTGTGTATATTTGTATACAGGTATATACGAGTGCCCGTATATGCAAGCTGAGGTGGAGAAATTGAAGACACAGATTATGTAAGCCATTAACTCTTTAGGGGAGCAAGCTCTGATGTTCCCACTTGAAGACGGGAGAGGGGAGTCCTCTCATGCTTGCGTCTCACTGTAACTTTTATGCTTTTGTCTGTGGGTGTGTTTGTTCAGTGCTTAGACTGAACAACAGTGACCTCTTTGAAACAAGAGGATATACAGTTCACGTGCCACATAATGACTTTCAGTCAATGACAGACTGCATATATAAAAAGCACATTCTAATAGGACCTTTGATAATCGTTTTGTCTTCTTGACTATCATCTTCTCTAGGAGAAAGTCTTCCCTGATACTCTGCCCCCTGCCTCCACACATACACATACACAAACACTCAGATATATCTCTACCACACATACTCCTGGCTAGGCTAAGTGCACCCTTTTCTTTTTCTTTTTCTTTTTCTTTTTCTTTTTCTGAGACAAGGCCTTGCTCTGTTGCCTAGTCTGGAGTGAAGTGGCCTGATCATAGCTTACTGCAGCCTCCAACTTCTGGGCTCAGGCGATCCTCCCACCTCAATTTCCCAAGTAATTGGGACTACAGGCATGCACAAACATGGCTGGCTAATTATTTTTATTATTATTATAAGTAGAGATGGGGTCTCACTATGGTGCCCAGGTCGATCTCAAAGTCCTGGGCTCAAGCAACCCTCATGCCTTGGCCTCTCAAAGTGCTAGGATTACAGGCATGAGCTATCATGTCCAGCCTAGCTACCCCTTTTCTATACTTTCCTAGCATCATGTGTGGGTCTTTCTCATACTATCTACAGCACACTGTGATTGTGTATTTACCCATATTTCTCCCAAATGACTATAAACACCTCAAGGGAAAGGATTATAGCTTATTCATATTTGAATCCTTAGTATTTATGACAATGCTTGGCTCATAATAAGCTCTCAAGAGATATTCATTCCATTGAATTGAAATGACTTCCACTTGGGTTTCACAGTAGAATACTCATTACTCATCAGACTTACTCAGGGGACAAGTCTCTGGCCTCATTTTCATTTGCATCTTGGCCATGATTTTGCCTACTGTCAATCACCATGAAGTACAGAAAAGCAAACTGAGCTATGGTGAGCCAAATTAACTGGACCTAAGATGACCTCATCAGCAAAGCGCCCTAAGCAATCAAGCAATCGGGTCAGCTAGTTGCAGCCTATAGTTATCGTGGAAAACTGGTTGCTACTTTGATCTCAGCTCACCTTGCCAAATACTCCTTTTGTTTGAAAGATAGTCATAACAAGTACAAAACAACACTGAGTGAATATTTTTAATATTATAAGCACCTAGATAAATTTAATTTCTATTTCCATTAATGATCTGAATAACCTAAATTCTTCTAATACCTATATTTGTCCAATTTTAAGGTATTCTGACTTAGGCAGAAATTGGGCAATTATCTGATTAATTCAGGCCAATATTTTTAACACTGGATTTCTGCATCACAAGAATTGTTAATTTATTCTTATATCCTCATTCCTGGTACACAATGGGTGCTCAGAAGTAGCTAGGATTTACTGAGAGCTTACTATATGCTAAACTGTACAACAATGTGTTATCTTACATTAAGTCTCACAAAAATTAAAACTCTCAAAAAACTTCGCACTAATTGTTTGAGATAGATGAGATTACAATCTGAGTCTTAAGAAGGTTAAGTAACCCACCCAAGGTCGAATTAAGAACTTGAGCTATCTTTTTAATCACTACTCTATATAGACATTTGTTGAATAAATGGTCAGATGCATTTTGATCAAGCCTATGCTTATTTGAAATATCACATGCTTTTTTGAACTTTATAGATATATATTAACCATTTGGAAAAATGTAAGAACAAAATCTCATGGAAAATGTAAATTTCAATCTTGCAAACTAAACATTCGATTTATACACTTTCAGGATTTACTCTGTTGTGTGAATATGCGTACTTTAGAATAAAACTGGTATCATACTATACAATGAATATCAAGTTTTAATTCAATAATGTTTAATGAATAATTCCCTATGTCATTAATAATCCTCTTATGAGTATTATTTTAAAAGATACATTATTTTACTTCAAGAAAATTTTATGATTTGTATAATAGAACTATAGCTTTTGGACATTTTGGCTACTTATAACTTTTAGTGCTTTGATAATATCATTACAAACATCATTACACATATATTTTATAATTTTTAAGAAACAAATATGTTCTTAAATTTGTTTTTTAAGGAAAATTATTATTGGTTGAATGATTACATCAAAGGGAAATGGATTATTTTCATATGTAATTTCATGCTACCTCCAACAAAGGTTTTATCCTGATTATATTGTAGACCTGAATTCATTTAAATTTATGCTGATTTTTTTAACTTTAGAGACATATTGCTCATATTCAAGTACATTTTAATTCATGTTATAAGTATATGACAACATAAACATGTTTTGACATCCTCTACTGAATATATTCTTTTTACACCACTAAGCATTTTTAAAATTTAGTTTTTTATAAAAAGGACAGATAGGCAGGCAGGCAGAGAGAGACAGAGACAGAGATGACAAGCATAAACAAGGAATTGTAGCTGTGGTCTAACAGATTACACATTTTTAAGCACCTAAATTTAGAAAATTAGGTGGTATACTTTATTATTGATCATTTGGGGTCAAACTAGCTAATCTGGCAACTTAATTTTCCTAGGGATTTATTTGATGTAAAAATATGGTCTGATCGTTCTTCAGTGGTTCTTTCCTTTTAGGAGTCTTGCTCATGAGAACCTGTCTTAAAACTTTTACTGCTTGAAATATGTAGAAAGTCCAAGGGTAAAGGAGAGTGGAATTTGTTGTTGTTTACTATGAAGAATTATCATTGAGTCAGTTCACCTTTGGCTGGCATCTGGGGAAAGTTTGCCTGCACGACATGATTAACAGCTAAAATATTCTTACGGCCTTTATCTCAGCAGTCTAGAAGGTTCGAATGAAAAGAACATTATCCATAGAGGAAGTAGGAGGTAAACATTCCTAACAAAAATGGACACTCAATAAATACATGTTAAATAAAAGAATAAACAAATACGTTCAAGTCGATTCTAGTTGTGCAGTGGTAACCCTTGTCGTATTGGAACAGTAATGCACATGGACCATGAGTCCTTGTATTCTTCTTGAGCCAGCTTGGTGAACTTGGTCAAACCACTGACACTCAATTGCTTCACTGGTAAAACAAAGCCAATAGCATCCGCTATACTTATCCATTAGATTTTTTATCCATTAGATTTTTTAATATATATGAATACAATTTATGAAAGTACTGTATACTATGTACTTAGTATATACTTAATTAGTATGAAAATAAAGTAAAAATACCATAGAAAATTAGAGGTTTATGAATTGCTAATACATGAGATATTTACTAGGGTGTATATTTACTATGTCTTCTAAAAGTATAAGTTTGGTAAGCAGAAATCTCTTAGGGTTTAGCATTTCTTTAACTGATAGCAAAAATTTTGAATGTTAACTATTTAAGTGTATCTACAGTGACTTTCCTTTTCTTCATGATATTGCCTTGTTTATCCCTTTGATTTATCCTCATGTCCCACTGAAGCAAGCTATGCACCTTAATGCCATCTTGTTTATGGGGACTAATAAAAGAAAATTGTCTGCAATGGGAGATCTGCTTTATTTACATGCAAATTAAAACTATATTCCTTCGGTTACAGGCCAAAGATTATTAATGCATGATGTGTAACAATTTCAGGCAAAGGTAAAAATGCTGTTCCTTCCTATAATCTAATGCAACTGATTTCATTTTTGTAAAATGGTGCAACAAATTGAGCCATGGCATTTATAGTATCTTACGTGTTTTATGCTGCTTTTTAAAATTTATATAAGAAATGGAAAAGAAAACACTAAATTGCTAGACTAGTAAAGCAATTGACTGGCTTGAAATTTCAGGAGGCAAGGAATATCTGTTTTACCATTCCATATTATGACTGGAAAAATATAATTCTTCTGCCCACTTTATTGTTTCTAGAAAAAGAGTTAGTAATATTTATCTTGAAAGAACATTCTAAGAACTAATACAATAACTTGCCAAATGGATTAAAGTTTTGGAGAAGAACGGGGATCCTGGTCATTTTCTGGAGTCAGATACAGTCAGTTTCCTTCTTTTGAAACTCACACAGGCAATCATCAGATATTAAGAAAGGGATCAAGAAATCGAGGAGGCAAAAGAACAGAAGAAGTAAATACCTATAGCTTGCCCAGAAGGTAATGAGATCTCTGAAAGAATTAGGGTTCTATGTACTTAAGCAATGAGATTAAAGAAAGCAAATTAAATGGGCCAAGAGATAAATGAAAAGTGTCTGAAGATAACTTTTTTCCAATTGCATTCTTATGATTCAAAATGGAATATGGTCCCCTTCCAGAGGAAAAGAATTGTACTTCAACTCTCTTGTAGTTTCTTTATCAGAACTCTGATTATTCCTACTTGAAGTAGAGAGCCATTTATTCCAGGGTTTTTCTGATTTTATATCTTGACCATGACACATTCTTTCCTATATCGTAGGATGTGTTTTCCCCTTCATTCTTATCTTTAAATGACAACTTGTGGCCGACTTTAGGTCCTATAGGAAAATGTAGCTTGGCTGTATTGAAACAGGAACTCCAGCAATACCATGACAGCTCAGGCGCTCCCAAGCTTTCTGATTTTATGTCTTGAAATTAAAGGGAAACTTTTTGTTACTTATGTAACAATGGATTGTGAGTGAATAGAGTGGATTCTTTCTACATGGGCAGTGTGAACAAGATTATTTAAGGTTGCATATGTAAACTGGGATAAAACTTGAAAGAACACACTCTCAGAATGAAATTTCACGATAGCCTGATATATAATAGTGTTCCCAACACTTTATCGAAGTTGAATTTTTGCTTAGAGATCAATTTATTATCTATTTATTTATTTTAAAACAGCTTCTTATGGAGCAGGGATAACTCTTAGGCAGTGCAACCGGAGTCAGCCAAGAGCTCAATTTCATGTACAGCTAATTATGTGATAATTAGAGAAAGTGAGGTACTATGATTATAAACAGAAATAATTCATGAAATTGTTTGAAATATGGGACAAACTCAGTAACACAACACTTCTTCAATTTTTCTAGCCTCTTCCCCAACCAATAACTTTTCTTAATTTTTTTGTTCTGTTTTTATATGATATAGACAGTGTTTATTCTAGTGGGCTTTTCTTTTCTGTGGCATTCTCCACAAAGAAAATTCCAGATGAGAAATTCGAATTTTTAAAAATTTCATGTTGCTGCAGGAACCAAAAACCAAACACCACATGTTCTCACTTATAAGTGGGAGCCAAATGATGAAAACATGTGGACACACGCAGGGGAACAACACACACTGGGGCCTGTCCAGGGGTGGGGGAGGGAGAGCATCAGGAAGAACAGCTAATGGATGCTGATCATTCCCATAGGATGAGGGGATGATCTGTGCAGCAAACCACCATGGCACACGTTTACCTATGTAGCAAACCTGCACGTGTACCTGAGCATGTACCCCTGAACTTAAAAAATGAGGAAAAATCAATTTCATGTTGCTTACCTCTGTATCTAAACAATAAAGAAAAATGCCTTCATAATAGTTACTTAGTATAAGTAATCAGCATCTCGCTTATAAGTATTCTGAGAATAAATATCTTGAATGAGAATACATAATATTTTCCAAGTGTTTGTCATACTTACACTGAAAGGAGTTTAATGCTGGTTTTTTGAAAGTTAATGAATCAATTATTAATTGAGGAGAATTTATTTTATAAATAGAAAAATCAATTGACAATAACTGGAAGAATCAAATGCCACAAGTTGGCCATTCAAGCAAAAAGAAATTAAGATTTATTATATATCCACTATGTGCCAGGCATTTTGCTAGGCACTTTATGATTACTTTTTTATTTAACTCCCATTGTAACTCTGTGAGTTAAGTTATTTCTCCCCCTTTCCTGCCAAGAAAAGTAAGAGTCAGTAAGATTAACTACCTTGCTCAATGCTCATATGTGACTGAGGCAGGAGTCAATACTATAGCTGACTTGAAAGCCAAAGATGATCTCTGAGAAAACTGTTGGGCACCTAGATAAAATGATGTTGAATGTAACTGCATATGAATGTTAGTTCTAACCTTCACTTTCATGTGATAGTTCTGTAGTCTTTGGTCAGAGAGAATGCAGAACTCAAAATATTATCCTGACTTAAATTATAAGTTTACTGGCCGGGCGCAGTGGCTCTCACGCCTGTAATCCCAGCACTTTGGGAGGCCGAGGCGGGTGGATCACTTGAGGTCAGGAGTTCGAGACCAGCCTGGCCAACATGGTGAAACCCCATCTCTATCAAAAATATAAAAAATTAGCCGGGTGTGGTGGTGCATGCCTGTAGTCCCAGCTACTCAGGAGGCCGAGGCAGAAGAATCACTTGAACCCAGGAGGGATAAGTAAGTTGCAGTGAGCCGAGATTGTGCCACTGCACTTCAGCTTGGGGTGACAGAGTGAGACTCCATCTCAAAAAATAAAAAAGAGTTATAAGTTTACTTATTTCTGTATATTTGGCTCAGTTGGTAATATATGAGGAAAGGACTTAACCTGTTTGGACATTGCTACTATTTGCATGGCATGGCCATTTCTTGCCCTTCTGAGTCCTCTTATTACACTGCATGACTGGAATTTTAGGTAGGGAAGAACAAAGAACCATTGTCTTCAATTGGATTAACCTTTGCACCTTTGGCACCTCAAGTTGAGCCAGAAACCACTCTGAAGATGAAGTGAGACACAAGAACTTTCCTCCAACAGGTTCAGTTAGGAAAAGATAGGTAAGCATGACAGCCAAAGTGGAAAATGTGAACAGACGCATAAGAAGTCACGTCTCACTGAATCTAAAGTTTAAGCTAGCCTATATTTCAATTGCTCCTATTTCTAGTAGGACACATAGTATCAACACAAACAGTAACTACATGTACGACTCAGATGAGCTACAATAAAGGCATTTGGTTGAATAAAATTTTGATAAGATAGTAATTAGTAATCTGTTTAATACCATACCAATAGTTGAAAAAGAACAAGATTTGCAGAACTGATAGATGCCCATTACTTTCTGGGAAAGGAAATACAATAGTAGATGCTCAAAAATGATAATAACTTTTCCAGAAACATTTAAAATGTACTGTAATTAACTCAGTAAATTAGACTCTATTATACTAGAAACTTATATTCATAAAGGAAGGGAGCATAGAGGTGACAGTAGTAACGATTAGCATTATTTTATTCTATTTTGAAGATTAGAACTTCCTGATTATTTCATATCTTGCTAAAGTGATAGAAAAGCATATATATGCATTTCTAAATAAGCAATGTAACTGATATATATAGTATTATAAAATATTATAAGTGTTATATATGTACATATGTTATATATTGTATTAGTTTGTTTTCACACTGCTATAAAGATACTTCCCATGACTGGGTAATTCATAAAGGAAAGAGGTTTAATTGACTCACAGTTCCACATGGCTGGGGACGCCTCAGGAAACTTATATTCGCGGCAGAAGGTGAAGAAGGAGCAAGCACCTTCTTCACAAGGTGGTAGGAAAGAGAGAGAGTGCAAAGGGGAAAGAGCCCCTTATAAAACCATCAGATCTTGTGAGAACTCACTCAATATCATGAGAATAGCATGGGGGGACCTGCCCCCATGATTCATTCACCTCCCACCAGGTCTCTCTCTCGACATGTGGGCACATGAGAATTATAGTTCAAGATAAGATTTGAGCACGGACACAGAGCCAAACCATATGACATATACATAATATATGTAATATATATGTAAATATATAATATGTATTATATAATTGTTATAATATATAATTAGACAATTTATATATTATATATAACGTGTTATATATAACACATGTTATATATTATATATAACACATGTTATATATTATATGTAACATATTTACATGTTATATATAATATATAACATGTAAGTATATAATATATAATATATTGTAAATATATAATATATAACGTATAATATATGTAAATTATATACAATATATGTGAATATGTATTATATATTGTATTATATATTATATATAATTATATATTATATATGTAAATATGTATTATATGCAAATATATAATATACATTGTATATGTAAATATATAGTATTATATTATGTAATATATATATATTTTTAATTTCCAACTTTTATTTTAAGCTCAGGGGCACAGGTGCAGGATGTGCAGCTTTGTTACATAGGTAAAGGTGTGCCATGGAGGTTTGCCGCACAAATCATCCCATCCCCCAGGTATTAAGCCCAGCATCCACTAGATATTCTTCCTGATCCTCTCTTTCCTCCCAGCCCCTGACCCTCTGACAGGCCCCAGTGTGCGTTGTTCCCCACCATGTGTCCATGTGTTTTCATCATTTAGCTCCCACTTTTAAATGAGAACGTGTGCTATTTGGTTTTCTGTTTCTGCATTAATTTTCTAAGGATAATGGCCTCCAGCTCCATCCATGTCCCTGCAAGGACATGATCTCATTCCTTTTTATGGCTGCATAGTATTCCATGGTGTATATTTACCACATTTTCTTGAATACTGGATATATAAATATAAATATAAATAAATGTAACCTCAGTCACACTAATGTTCTATATTTTTCTTTTTTTTTTCCCCTCTGTATCCCTGCCTCCACCACCACCCAAGTGTTGTATAAGTTTGTATCACTTGCTAATACTTGAGCTTGGTGTAGACAGTTGTCGAGGATACATAAGGGTGTGCTAGAATATAATAATGATGAGGTAGTTCATAGCAAAATATTAAAAAGCAAATGAGCAAAAAAAGTAGATATTAAGGAATACATGTCATTAATATTTATAATATATGGGTGTTCAATAAGGGTATTTTTAATTAATGTTGAATTAATTATAAGGTGAGGAAATATTTTAAATTAGTGTTTAATATACTATAGGACCCATATCTTTTGAAAAACACTCTATGTGATAATATTTATTTTATTGGGACATTTATAAATTGGTTTAATACAATGTATACTTTCCTAATTTAAACAAGAGCATAAATTCCAATTGCTTATTTATAAAAAACAATTTGGGATTTTTTTTAATAGAAATGGGAAATTATAAATGCCTTAATTCATTTTCAATTATTTCAAAGGTAAGAAGAAAAAGAATGCCAAAAATGTGGACCATTTTATTATTTAGTTAAGCATTATAGTACTGCAAATCCTTTTTCCACCATCTTTTCAAACTTTTGCCGTGACAGAATTGTTTTTGATACCCACATAGAAAAGATTAAATGAGTAGAAAAGAAGATCAATATGAAAAATTTAAAGGAACTGTCATTTTTCAGCCTAGGAAGAGAGAGAATGCCGAAAGACTTCTAATGTATGGAGTTTAAACATCAGATGGTGATTGATTGCTATTAATTTATGTCAGCAAAGGAGGAGAAGAAATACGTAAAACTGCCTCTGAAGAATTTACATTAAACACCAAAAGAATCTGACTCTGAAAATGAAGAAACAAGGAATATTGTTTGTTTTGGGAATCAAAAAAAAAAAAAACTTCCCATTTGAGTACACAATTTCCTAAACAAGATACATGATAATTCCATACACTATGCTTTCCGAAGAAACTTTGTAAAACGTATTTTCATTATTCAAAACTTGAAAACACAGAAACAATATGATGCAAAAAATTATCTTTAGCATTATTCCACTAAGATAATTCATTTTAACATCCATATATTCATTATTATGTAAAATACCTATCAGTATGTGGGTATATCTTTGTGTGTATATTTTAACAAAACAAAATTCAATAAAAATTGAAATACAGAAATGACAAAAACACACAAAAAATATAAATTATTTCCATTGTAGCATATATTACCTTTTTCACCTAACATTATACTGTAGGAATATATTCTTTCATCATTCAATGCTTTTGAAAATATAATAATATTCCATTTTAAGGACATGCTATAATTTAGTTCATTAGTTTTTAAACTTTTAGATTATCTCATTTTGTCATCATTTAAAAAAAGTGTTCCTGGATGTCCTTTTGCATAGACTTTTGAATGTATTTCTGACTATTTTCTTAACCTGTCCTGTACTTCTGCAAGTAGAACTGCTTGAGCAGAGATTAGGAGCAATTTTAAGGTTTTTCAAAAATCTTGACAAACTATTCTGCAGGAAAAATGTATCTTGTTACCATCAGCATTTTTAAGTAACTAGTGACTAATTGTAAAAATAATTGTGTTTCCTTGTATTTAAGCCTTGCGCTATAGATTTTAAAAATTTGTCCTTTTTTTTTTTTCATTTGTAAAAAAAAGCCATCTAAAAGACCTTAGAACCTGGTATCAGCTGAAGCTTACTAAACCATATCAAGAAGATCATGTCATTCTCAAGAAAAGCATGTTTCAAATAAAAAGGAAATGTCAGCCCTGAGCGTTTTTATTAACCATCTCCCCATCTGACTTCAGAGACAGCTTTAGCTGACCACTTCCTCTCTCGGGTTTATTTGTATTAGAAATAAGTGGATTCATTAACTGTGCCACTTGGTGGTCAGGCCAGGCCTGCCAGTGTCCAATAACAGGTAATGGTTGTATTTTTCACGGGGTGACTGATGTTTACTTTGTTGATGGCCCCAGGAGCTCATGTAATCTGAGATAGGTCTTTGTTTACTTCTTGTTTTACTGATATGCTGACCCATTTGAAACTAGCGAGAAAGAAAAATAAACATTCTGGAATATGGTACCTGAAGTCACTCTTCCTTAGTGGCTTTATTGTAACCTCTTCAAAGGCTTTTGTTAACCCACTCTTTTCCCAGCAAAAAACCCTGATCTGGTCTCTTTTCCAATTAAACCAAAAGCAATATCACACCAAATAAGCAAACAGAAAATATTGAAATTACCACTTAAAGAGAGTTTTATCTGGGGTTTAATTGTGTGTGTACTCAAGCGTTTAGTGTAGGTCATTTGCTAATGACATCTAGTAATTTTTAAAAACTGGATAAAACTGATACTGAGCCTGTCTACAGCAATTTAACTATTTTGGGGGAGTATAAAGTTAGATTTGTCTATACTGACTTGTTTGCTCCATTTTAAAAACTGTGTTGGAATGATTTATTATGGATGATCCAAAATAAACGTGAAGTGAGGAAACTATTTTTTAATTACCACTGGTAGCATATTTAATGGAATTGTGTTATTGTGCCAGAAACCTTATTGAGCTATATTTGTTCTATTATCTTACTCATCAGCACAGCAAAAGTTCATATTTCAAGGGTGAAGGAAGTGAGGCATAGAGAGGTTAAATAATTCCCCAAAGGCAGAGGGCCGCCAATTGGTGAATGTCAGACATAATCCCACGCCTGCCTGAGGCCGGAGTCCATATTCTTAACAGACATCCTCTTTTGTCTCCTTATTTCATGATGCCAAATATGCATGACGCTGATATAAAGCGTATATATTGGAATCTGTATATTCAAATGAGCGATGTCCATTCAGTCAAACTGGAAGTATGCCAATTACCTTCCTATATTCAACACTTAGCTCAGAGATGATGAGGCACTTCACAGTTGTTTAATTGCACTGAGCACCCACCCCACAAGCCCATTTTACTTCTGTTCAAACCAGGTTTGCTATTCTAATTTTGGAATTATGTTCATTTGCAATCTGAGTCACAAGAGTAAATAAACTTTATCAGTATATCTTTAAAATTATGTATACATTTATAATGTATTTATGTATAGAAATATATAAACACATTTATATAAACACACACATATCTCTATAAATCCACATATTTACACTTGACTACTAAAAATTAGTTACAATATTTGTCTCTTCTATGTGTTTTCAAAAGTTATATTTAATCCCAAAGAATTACCATGATGATGTATGACAGATTCAAAAAGGAGATTCAACAGAATTTGAGGAATTGTAACACAGTTAGAAAAACATAGCCCCAAAGCAAACACTTTTAGGGAATATTCTTTATATTAAGTATGAGTATTAAAAAATTTGATTAGAAGTGTTTATATATTACTTTATACTTGTGTATATTACATCCACACCCTGTATACATAATATAGTTAATATATATGTGTATACATCATGTATATAGGCTGTGAAAGTAATATTAATATATGAATAAGTACATATGTACATTTAAAAATTGTATGTACTCAAAATGCATATTTTTTCAGAAGACTGACAATTACATTCTAGCACAAAACTTATTCAAAACCTCTAGTCCATAAGACATGAGAATCAGCAGGTTCCACTTGTGCCCCGTGGGTCTGTAGCCGATTCAGGGTGGCAACTGCCACATCTTCCCCTCCTGATTTATTTGCTTTCGGTCAGTTTGGCAGCTGCCCCCACAACAGCCTGAGAACGCAATCTATACTTCACAGAAAGGCATTTGGAATAGAAGAGGGTTTCTGAGGGCATTTAAAAAAATAAATGAAATAAAGATGTTGCTAAAAGCTATCCTCTCAGATTCACAAGGCTGACAGGAAAACAAAGTTTCAACTTGCAAACAGCATGAACTGGCCAAGTGGTTTGCTCTGTCATGGACAGCAGCAAGGCTGGCATGCAGTCTTGCTGTGCTCACACTATTGGCCCTGTGAAAACTCAGGCCAGATCTCCTGTCCAGACAAGAGCCTGGGTTATTGGGAGAAAAATCCATTTTAACTATTACATTCATTTTCATTTTTCCAGGAATACAATCCAAAATCGCAGGGAGCACTTGGAAACAATTCTTGGCAACTGTATTCAGTTGAAGAAACTCAGAATATGAAAGCATTAACATAGAGTGCAACCAAAACACAAATAAGAATCACCCAAGCTGGGCTACAAGAATAGCTACTGTTTACTCTGAGTGGATATTTATGAAGAGCCGTAGTAAGAAAGATCTTTTTGATGATAACAGAGCGGTGTATGGCATGATATTAATTCTGCCTCATTAGTGAAATGAAAAACTCTGAGATAGGTGTGACAAAGAAAATTATCACTGTTTCTCATTCAGTGTTAATTTCGCTTCTTGAATTAAATTCTGCTCATTCTCTTCGGTGCATTTAAAATTATTCCTTTCTTTTGATACATATATATATCTATATCCTATGGAATACTACTCAGGCATAAAAATGAATGAAATCATGTGTTTTGCAGCAGCATGGATGAATCTGGAGGCCATCATCCTAAGTGAAATAACTCAGAAACATGTTCTCACTTATATCACAAATATCTCACTCACAAATATCACATGTTCTCACTTATAAGTGGGAGCTAAACAGTTAATACACATGGACATAGAGAGTGGAATAATAGGCATTGGAGAACTCCAAAAGAAGGAAAAGTGGGAGCAGGGGTGAGAAATGAGAAATTACTTCATGGGTACAGTATACATATTCAAGTGATGGGTACACTAAAAGTGCAGAATTCACCACAATGCAATATATCCATGTAACAAAACTGCACTTGTACCCCCCAAATCTATACACATGAAAAAAAATTGTTCCTTTCCAATATCAGCATGTATTAGAATCAGGAATGGTTTATACATTAAACACTATAAGCACAGCCCTTATGGAATGTGAGCCTTTTGAAGATACATTATTTGGATAGAGCTTGAATTTTTTTTTTTAAAAAAGAACAATAATAGTAACATGCATTGAGTGTTTACTTTGTACCAGGTATGCTATGAGGGTTTTACATCCATTAACTCTCTTGATCCCCACACCACCCTTTGGGCAAGGTACTTAAATTATCATCATATGCAAAACTTGACATGTAGAGAGAATAAGGAACTCGCTCAAGGTTAGACTGATAATAAGTGACGGAGCTGATCTTCTAACCCCTGGAGTTGACTTTGCCACCACACTGCCTTCTCACACATGTTCAGAACTCTCAATCTTTTCTCAACAGAAGAACCCCAAAGTCTGTTTTGTGTCTTTTTCTATTCAAACACCCAGACAGAGGGAAGAGCAAAGGTCCTATGGCCCAGGGAAGTCTGGCTTGATGGAGAAAATGAAAGCTGATAGATGTGGATGAAAAAACAAACTGCGGTCAAACTAACATGAAAAAAGGGCCAACTAGGTAGGACCTTACCGGGTAGGTCCAGATTTTGATCTTTAACCTTGGAACAATGAGAAGCCCATGAGGCATTTAGCCAATTAACGGTTTATAAAGTTCACTTTGGAAGCAATTAGAAAATCAGCATGAAATGGAGGGGGCTGAGTGGATATCAGGAGAAGGCTGAGGCTAACTCAGCAGCCCAGGAAGAGAAGCAAGGTCTTAGATTAAGGGACTGGTGATGTGAGAGTGTTCAGTGAAGCTCAGGCAGCCTCCGCTTCTTGGGGCTGACCCTGCTTGGAAGCCAAGGAGGTCCGGTTGTTGGTGTGTAGATGCCCTCAATATGATACTTTTGCTTAAGAAATAATTTTTCCCATTCCAATTTTTTAATGCAAAATTCTACTGATTTTTAATGTAATTCATGGATATCATTCTAGAACATGATTTAAGCCATTTGAAGTTTATAAGAAAACATAGGAAAAAATTACATGTTAAATTTGGCATGATACGTAATGAGACTAACAGAATTAGTAATTTTTTCTCTTGGATCCCTCCTTCCATAGTTAATAATAATAATCATAATAAATCTGGCCTGGAACAATAATGAAAAAGTTAAACCAACACAAAATCATTAGGCTGTTTGCTTTTCTTGAGTTCCACCCAACATATGACTTCAGTATTTTCACAAGGATTAGGATCACTTTCTATATAAATCTCTATTGCATCATTAGCTTTCAGGTAGTTGAAAAATTTCAGTATAATTTGTAATAGTTTTGACTTGATAAATTTCCTATTTGCATTTAATTTGCTACATTTTATAATATCTGCAGAAAGACTCTAAAGTATATGTCCAATTTTTCTTAATAGAAAAAAATACTAGCTTGTCAAAGCTTTATTTGAAATGTACAGCTTGATTATAAATTACAAGAAATTAAAGTGTGGGTTTCACTGACTACTTAATACTGAGTAGCCTTAGCCCATGTTTTGACCTAATAATCTGCCAGATTTCTCCTCAAGTATACTTAACACTTGTTGAAAGAAAGTTTATTAAGATTTCCATTAGGAATGACTGCTACTGGGAAATATAATTTATAGGACTGTCTGTTACAGAAATAAAGCAAGCCAGATTGATCCAGGATTCAAAAGAGTATTGTTTGTATCCACAATAAACCAATAAAATCTTTCTAAATGTGTTTCTGTTTATACTTCCAAAGAGCATTGCTGGAAAGCTCAAAGATACGTGATTTTTCTGTACTACTATTTAAGAGCATGTTTATTAAAGTTGTTATTTTTCTAGGGCAACTTTTGTTTACAAATGATGTAAAAATAGTGCCCAAAGATACTGACTAACTGCAATGACTGTATTTGTGGTAGTAGGTGTGACCCAAGTGAGAGCCCAAGACAAAAAGCAAAACAAGAAAACAAAGACAGAGGATTATGGTCTCAAATCCTACACAAAACTTGGGAAGAACTGCTGTCCTTTCTTTGTCAGCAGAATTCTCTAAAAGCCACATGTTTATTTTTGGCCTATAGGGAGTTTAGTGCGGCTCATTGTTTGTACAAAGCTATTTCAGTGACTGATTATTATTAATTACCCTCCTGAAAGAACGTCAAGTCAGACAGGACTCAAGTTTCAGAACTAAGGTATGTAACAGCCCTTCCCGTTTGACTAGGATGATCCTGATGGTGGCTTTTTTGTGTACCCACGGGCAAGGCCAAAATGGCCTGACTGGGCCCAGGGCCTTCGTGGGCTGTCCTGTATGGCACCCCTAGTGAGGAGGAAACATTTTACTTACGTGTGACATTTACTCAGAAACCTGACTATAAGTATGGTGAATGTATGGTTTATGGCATAAACAGCAACATGTTTGTGAAGTAAAGATGGCGTTCTTCATAACAATGGCGGTTCAACCAGCATGAACTAGAACTGTCCTGGGAAAACTAGAAAACACAACTGAGGACCGAGAAACAAAAGGTCTCATGTATACCCCAAAATGGTATTAAAAAGAGACAAAATACTAAAGTATAAATAGCTTATTATAAGACACAATTTTGAGCATGCTTTCTTTACTTTAGATACAATTTGCAAAATCTTCCCTGTAGCTTTATGTCAGTCCAGGGCCGCTGATTATGAAATTGCAAATTTGAAGAATGAGGTGGCTTCCTTAATAAGTAGCAGTTGATAACCGCTAAGGAAGCATGAACAACAAAAGTGGCCAAATCAAAAGGCACAAGAAGTGTTCAAAGTAAACCAAAATTTAGGAGCTACAGTTTTATTTCATAAGTGAAAATTTAGTAAGCCTCAAAAACATCACATAGAGTGTCTGTCTGGGCTGCAAGACCCTGAAGTGGCAACTCCATTTCCAAACTTTGCATCAAAATATTCCAATCTGAATGGGCTTTTATTTTCTGAGAGGATGAGTTAAATCAATTTACATGTGTTGATTGAGTTCTTATCACTTGTTTAAGAAGTGTGTCACTTTCCAGGTATCCTATGTCTTCCCCTTGATTTCGAAAGTCACCAGGCAAGAGAATTAGATCCATTCAGTTTAAATTTATGATTTTCTATACTCAGAAAAACCCCATTTTAAAAAGTATAATATAGTTCCTTTTCCCCAAGATTTTTCTATATTTTCCACATATTTTTTAAAAATGTAATTGGTCATCTTATTAAAATTCATAAATAGAATAGATGAGTAAATAGAGAATTTAAAAATAGAATGAGTGAGCCGGCCGGGCCCAGTGGCTCACGCCTGTAATCCCAGCACTTTGGGAGGCCGAGGCGGGTGGATCACGAGGTCAGGAGATTGAGACCACGGTGAAACCCCGTCTCTACTAAAAATACAAAAAATTAGCCGGGCGTGGTGGCGGGCACCTGTAGTCCCAGCTACTTGGGAGGCTGAGGCAGGAGAATGGCGTGAACCCTGGAGGCGGAGCTTGCAGTGAACCCAGATCGCGCCGCTGCACTTCAGCCTGGGCGACAGAGCCAGACTCGGTCTCAAAAAAAAAAAAAAAAAAAAAAAAAATAGAATAAGTGAGTTCTAGATTCTGCTTTGTTGTTATTTCTTTCTGAGTCAACTGAGTAATTCCATTCCCTCTGGAAGAAGATGATCATGCCTCAGTTTGTAATGTGGGTGCATTCTGAAAGAGAGGGTCCGGGAATGAAGGTCCTGAGGATACAGAAAGAATTTCTTAGAGGCTGCTTAGCAAAAACTGACTTTACATGCAAATTAAGGTTCCATTTAATTTGAGACATTGTTGTCATTAAAAGTGGAGAGAGAGGCCAGGTACAGTGGCTCATGCCTGCAATCCCAGTGTTTTGGGGGATGAGACAAGAGGGTCATTTGAGCCCAGGAGTTCCAGACCAGCCTGGGGAAGACCCCACCTCTACCAAAAAAAAAAAAAAATACAAAAATTAGCGGGGTTTAGTGGGACATGTCTGTAGTCCCATCTACTTGCAAGGCTGAGTTGGGAGAATCACCTGAGCCCAGGAGGTCGAGGCTGCAGTGAGCCGAGATTGCGCCACTGTACTCCAGCCTGGGCAACAGAGCAAGACCCTGCCTCAAAACAAACAAAAACAAAAACAAAAAAACGACTTGAGAGAGAGATGGAGACCCAGGTTCCTACCAAAAGACACATAGATCATCTTAGTAGGATTCCAAAGCATGAGAATTACTGTTGACCAATTCCCTACCTCTATGGATTTTAGTGCAGGCAGCCAGTCTTTATGTTACACCTTCCGGTCACAGAAATAAAGCAGGAACTAGATATTGTTAAGAGAAAAAAGAGATAATGAGACAGTCATTGTAGAAGCAGAGCTCTTTTTGCATTCTGTTGCCTTTTGTTTGTGATGACATCTGAGGAAGAGAGCTAACAGGAAGTGCAGCCAATCTCCCTATAAACAGGGTGGGCTGAGGCATGGGCTAGAGGCATTGGCAGGGTGAGCTCCAGCATGAAGCCATCATGAGCCTGATAAATGATTTGAGAAATACGTACTTATCTATGACTAGTAAATCAAAGTTCCCTAAAACATCTCAAAGTTCAAAATTATTCTTTGCCTCAGGATCAGGGGAACCAGGATGTGGGCATGAAAAACTCCAAATCATAAAATTCAAGACATTTTGATAAAGTTTTAGACATTTAATAAGGATCTGTCTGAAGTGGTCTTACCTAGATAAAGCAAAACAAATTTGCAAGCATCTTTTGGAAATTACAGGAAGAGAAATGTTTTGGTGAACAAAAATGAAGCATTAATTTAATAAATATATCACTAATAATATTTAGTTTTTATTATTTTATTTCAGCTAATGTATATATTAAATCATACATATGGCTTTTCACAGGTTCAGGCACAAGCATTCCAACTGTCTCTCTAGTTTTTAATTTCTTTTTTCCTCTTTAAGTTTCCAAAAATGGGTTCTTCTTAACGTTATTTGGAGCTGAAGTATCTACAATGTGCAGAAGAGTTTCTTTGAATACACATGGCAGCATTATTGGTTTACTATGGTTTGCGGAAGTAATTGTTCTAAGTTGAGTTGTCATTTAGGAGAACACTCTCTTGCTCTTGCTTAGATATCTGGATACCAAAACCTGGATATAATTTATTTTATCCTTCTGTAAAGCTATCCTGTGATACTGTAGACTGGGATGATAATGCAAATATATACAATCATCGATGTTTATTATCTAAACATGATTACTCAAATGCATCTGTCAGGTCTATCTATTAGTTTGCTAGGCCTGCCATAACAAAGTACCACAGACCGGGTGGTTTAAACCACAGAATTTCATTTTCTCACGGTCTAGGAGGCTAGAAGCCTGAGATCAAGTGTTGGCAGGATTGGTTTCCCCTGAGGCCTCTCCCCTCAGCTAATAGATGGCTGTCTTCTCACAGTGTCCTCACATGGCTTTCCCTCTGTGTGTCTATGTCCTCATCTCCCCTACCTATAAGGATGCCCGTCCTGTTGGATTAGGGCCCACCCATATGAGCTCATTTAACTTTCATCACCTCTTTCAAGGCCCTGTCTCCAAATACAGTCACAATCTGAGGTCCTGGAGGTGAGGACTTCAACATAGGAGTTTGGGGGAACATACATATACATACATAACAGTCTATGTATAATACATGGAATGTTAACCTTACCATTGGTGTCAATTCAGGGTTATTTGCTAGACTGTATTCGAGCCTTTTAATAATTATTTATTCTTGTACTATTCTGCCAAATGCTTCTTTCTCAAACTAACTTTGAGGAAATAAAATAGAAATGAATGACTCTCCTTTGTGATGTGCTTTAGACGCAGAACTATTGCTGATGACAAATTCTGATGACACCTGAGGTTAAGATATTGGTGCCCTGTGCACATCGCTCATTAGCATCCATGACAGCCATTTAACACATAATCTATTCCTTACTTTGTGGGGCTCTGAGCTGTGCACACCAGGAAAACAGAGTCCTGGGGTCCCTGTTGCGTTATTTACCTCTGTTTTGAGCTGTTAAGTCCACCACAGCCATTTAGTAAATTATCAGTTTTCTTATTGGCCCTAAATCGTGCCTAATTAAAATTCTGACCTCCACAAACTAGTCCTCTTCCTAAAGAGACAGAACATAAACAGGAAAAATCAACTAATTGCTACAAAAACTGCTTTTGTGGCACTGTAATTGGACCTCAGTGAAACAAATGAACCCACTGGGGATTCCTTAATGAATGTTTAACTGCAAACGGTAGTCGGGCACTTAAGCAGCTAGGCTGATGGTCCCTAATGAAATCAAATAAAATCAAATAAAAGAATCTGGCATTTTTACTAACCAGATTTCTTGGCACTATGACATGAAGAATAATGTATTTCTTAGTACATAAATATGGGAAAAGTTATAAAGGGAGCAGTGAAAACTTAGTTGAAATTGCTCAGATTACACTTAGAAAAATACAACCCACAAGAAGAAAAAAAAAGGCAACACCTCAACAAAATGACATTCTGTTTAATTTCACACATGGATCTCTCTGTCATGAAAGTCACTTCAGGGAAATGCTGAACTGGAGTTGTACCATATTCTTATTGACACTTTTAATTTAAGGAAAGGTGCAATTTCTTTGCTTTATCTTTCTTTTTGAGAAATTTTCAGTCCAAAAGATAACATTTTTAAATTGACACACATTAACATCATGGTTGAAAATTTTGTCCATGTGCTTCCTCAGGGGAACGATGACTTTCTAATTTATTATTCCCTTGGCTAATACATGGTAAACAAATTCTAATAACAGTGAGATAGTGCTCTAACTTCAACTTTTCCTGATTATATCAATTTTAAAGAAAACCTTAATAAATTATTATTATCATTACAAATAATGTAATGATCTCTATCCACCGGTTGTGCTGAGCTGGTAATACTCACTAACATTTGCATGCTTCCCCGCTTCCTTGGCATCTTGTTAGTTGCAGCCACCTTTGCATTGAAGTGGGGGCCAGATGGTAACTTCTGGCAATGAGACGTAAGAAGAATTGATGTACATCACTTCTAAGACTGGCCCATACAACATCGCCAAGATCCTCCATGTGGTCTTTGTCTTTTGCTATTGCCCGCTGGACGGCTGCAGAAAGCTGTGGAGCTGTAGGGAATGGATAACTAGAGTAAAAATAGAAGATCTCAGATTGTGACCCTCCAATCCTGCAACAGCATTATCTGGAAACTTGTTAGAAATGCATATTTTCAGGTCCCAACCCATACCTACTGACTCAGAAACTCTGGGAGGACATCCAACTATCTGCTTTAACAAGGCCTCCAGGTGATTCTGATGCATACTAAAGTTCGAGTACCAATGCCCCGAAGATAATACAAATTAGAGAAACTGAGGTCCCTGAATAAATATACAGAGGAGAAACCAACCATTACATTCCCCCAAGTCATTGAATAGTGGTATGGGCAATAAGTAACCCTCAATTTTGTTAAAATGCTGAAAGTTTAAGGTTGACTATTGTAGAAATGAACATATTTTGCCTTCAGTAACACATCAATAAAGAAACCTTTCACCTAAAATAGCTCATTTTAATCCTGACAGGCTTTTATTTTCTTATTGGCCCTAAATCGTGCCTAATTAAAATTCTGACCTCCACAAACTAGTACTCTTCCTAAAGAGACAGAACATAAACAGGAAAAATCAACTAATTGCTACAAAAACTGCTTTTGTGGCACTGTAATTGGACCTCAGTGAAACAAGGTCCAATATTAAGTATTGGACCAACATTAAATATTAATATATTAAAAAAATAGTTTTTTAAAACTATTAAAACAGTTTTTTTTTAATATCCACATTTTGAAATTGAGGAAACTAATGTCCAAGTTAAACAATTTAACCAAAATTACGCTACCATTTTGTACCACAGCATGCAGTAAACACATACATAAACAATATACAGTCAGTGCCTGATGGAAGACCTCACTATGGAATTTTCAACATGACACTTCATATGTTATTTCTTTATAAATATTGTTGTTTCCCTTTCCCTTCATTAGGTATTTGGTAGTAATTAAACCACTTCTGTATAATTTTGAATGTTTCTGTATCATTTATTATTTATAGCCTTGCATCAATCAAAAATGTATTGGGCACTTACCATTTTCTGGGCATTATTCAGCAAATGACTCCTTTCTTATGGAAGCGTCTAGAATATGCCACCCCAAAATATGCCATTGTGGTATAAGAATTATCTTGAGCTGAAGGCAACTGAAAATTTTTATCATTCCCTTATCTAACTAAAAACAAGGAAATAGTTTTCTTTGTGAAGGCGCCCCACCTGTACCAGAAAGAGAAGAGCTGAGGCTAAGAGTTGACAATGAAGTGAGTCTACGGAAACAGACCTTATTAAAACACTCCATTATCTTCCATTAATTTTCCCCATATATTTTCTAGGAAATACACTTTCCCACAATTTATCATCCGTCAAAGCCCAAATCGGCTTTTCATTTTTTAAATGGTATATATGCTTTTGAGTCTTTGCATTTCTCTCCTTTTCTGCAAACTCTCATGCATGTAAATTTTGATGAAAATTGTATGCCCTTTCTCCTGTTAATCTCTCTTCTGTTAGTTTAATGTGTAGGCCCCCAGGGATAAACTCAAAGGGTAGAAAAGTTTTTCCTCCCCAACACTCACATCTATTTATACACTATACTCATTTCACTGAAGTTGAAAAGATTGTGCCAATAGCTTTATCTCAGTCATGACGTGGAGAATATTTTACAAATGCTTATATGATTTAGCATAGAGCAGGGTATTATGGAAAAAAATCAACAGGCCTATTTTTATGTATTTTGGTTTTGCCACAGACTAGCTGTGCAAACTTCAGGAAGTCCTTTTAGATCCTGGCTTTTAACATCTTTAAATGCAAAATTAGAGTTTATAGTAAATAAGTTCTAAAATCTCTTCCACCTGTATGATTCTAATCCAAACATCCTAAATTTGCAATTCTGGTAGGATAGGAAAGATTGTGTTCAGTGGTTCATTCTCCCGCCACCCCCTTTAGAAAAGAAAAACAAAACGATTTTGTTACCTTGGCATGCTGAGAGTGTTACAGAAGACCTTGATGGAATCCAGAATAGTAACCCCCAATATCTTTGCTATTGCAAATTATATTACATGGAGGTAGTAAATATTCCAATGATTTTAAGCATAATCAGCCAATCAGAATAACTAACTGCTTCAGTATTAGCGTGGTGACCACCTGGGGTTATGCACTATAGAATCCTGCAAACAAGGTCACTGAGAGTCATTGTAGTCATACCAAAGTCCTGGGTTCCAACTGCAATTCCCCCAGCTGAGGCAAGTTACATAAATGCTGAAGGCTCATTTACCTCATTTTCTAAATAAGCACATTAATAATATATACCTCACTTGCTTGTTGTCAGGCTCAAATGGGAGATATATATAATGGCTTTTTATTAACTGCAATATCCTATTTGCATGTGAGTCTCTACAGATATAGTTTAATTTTCCCTTCAAAATCTGAAATTTGGATAAAATAGAATACTAAGTCTGCAATAACAATAGACCCTCTGATTCAGATTAATTTTAGAGATCAGTTGGTTAGTAACCCAACTTACTGAGTTAATTTAAAGATACAGTTTATTATTTTCTGAGTGCATCTAGTACTTGAAATAACTGCTAGCAAATTGTGTTCAAGTAGATATCCTTTGGGACTACTTAAATAAATAGTTAAGACTCATTTGAAATTAACAGCTTTCATTTGCATACAAACAAAATAATGTGTTAAAGCCTTTAAAAACTGTTCAGTGGTATGAATTTAAATTCCGGGCCCTAAGGAACGGTATGTACACCTGTAATTCATTGAAGCCTAGCTGTTTACCTGTAGCTCGGAGCCACAAACTCATTTCTTTAAGCAGAGAACTGGTCCAGGAAAATATATCTTCTAGGCTTCTAGAACCCAATGCACTTTTTCTGTTTCTTAGTGTCTTGGTTCTCAATTTCATTCTTCTCCTCTGGTTTCCTATCATTTATAGAGGTATGGGTAGAGTTCAGGGTCTGTGGCAAAGAATTGCAGCAGGATTTTCAACACAGATGAGATGTTAACTGAAGCAGCAAACCCTCCTACCTGCATAGCCATCATCTCCTACTGCCCCACCCACTTACTTCTGATTGACTAAAAATTTCTGAGCCTTTAGACTCTATCTTATCCCACATCCTTGGGGATTGAAAATTACTTGCTGGCCGGGCACAGTGGCTCACTCCTGTAATCCCAGCACTTTGGGAGGCTGAGGCGAATGGATCACCTGAGGTCAGGAGTTCGAGACCAGCCTGTCAACATGGTGAAACCCCGTCTGTACTAAAAGTACAAAAAATTAGTTGGGCATGGTGGTGGGTGCCTGTAATTCCAGCTACTAGGGAGGCTGAGGCAGGAGAATCGCTTGAATGTGGGAAGCAGAGGTTGCAGTGAGTCAAGATAGTGCCACTGCACTCCAGCCTGGGTGACAGAGGGAGATTCCGTCTCAAAAAAAAAAAAAAAAAAAAAAAAAATTACTTGCTGAAATTAGGGTTTAAAATGACATCTGATCTCTAGCTCACAACTCTTCCATCCATTAAGTCCTGTATATTGAAGAGATATTACTGCTGTTAGTATTAGTATTGCAATGCTACTTAAGGCACTTTGATCTCAAGAGTGACAAGTACTGAGGAATTTTCGTTGAAGGGTACTAAAGTCTACAATAGGAATGACAGGTTACCATGGTAACAAGGACTCTTAATTTGATATAGGGAAATTCAAAAATATTACCTGGAGGGAGTAATGATAAGAGCTAAGCAAAGATCTGAAAGATATTTAAGAGTTATTTGGGTAAATGAAGTGGCAAACATGGTGTCTTCCAGCATACGTGGAATCTCAGTGGCAAGAGAAAGTATGTATACTGCAAGTATTTCAGTAAAGCTAGAGCTCCTCCCATCACTACATAAAAATCTTCACAAAGGCAGTGAAAGGCTTTCTTCCTTGGATGTGAGTTCTGCTTCTTGAGATGGAAAGAGTAGTGTTACCCACTCCACTCCATCTGAACTTATGTTCATAAAGAAATATTCCTAGAAAAAACTGTAAAAGTAGTTCTTTAGGGAGAAAAGACTATGTCCTGGGAGTCTCCATAATTAAAATGTTGACACAATGAAGATTTAGAGATAACAAGAACTCTGGTCTCAGCATACGCTTGTGATGAAAGGATATCTGAATCACACTAGTGATTCAGGGTCCCAGGTGTCCCAACAATGGCTTCAAATGATGCCAGGCTAATCTGCAAAGTTGAGTTAAAACCTGATATTTTAGTTTGAATTATTCACATGAATTACACTCTGGCTAAAGATCTGTGAAAGAGATTCCGTCAACCATCATGGACCTACCGTAAAATCAAAGTATATATGCTTCCTATGTGATGAGTAAGGTATTCAGATAGGTTTGGTTTTTTACCTCATGCAAAGATATGTTTTAGAAAGAATAAAACTTAGAATATGGAAAATTATAAAAATGAAATCAGCATTCTAAAGCCTCAAAGAAAAAACAAATTTGAAAAAGCTTTACTGAATCAAACAGATAACACTTTTGAAGGCATTTTCAACTGGATACAAAAAGTCACAATATGAAAACAAAAAATAAAGCAGCAGATAGTGCTAAAGACAGAAAAGCATAAGGTAAAAAGACAAGCAGACGAGAAGCAAAAACGAGGTCATAGGAGAAGGGTTCTGAATGAACAACCAAGAGAAAACCAAAATTACAATACTAGAATTAAAATATGCATTGAAGATAGCAAAGAAAAGAAATAACTACAAAAAAGCAAAAATTTAGACACAAACCTGTGACAATCTTTCTAATGAAGAAAATAAAGGACAAATAGTAAAGTGATGAGATCAAAATGACAGCTTTACAAGTCACAAACTAATCTTAAAACAGTAAATAAAAAAGATCATCAGGGCTAAAAAAAAAACCTGCAGATGCAAATAGAAAGAATCATAGTATTTATTCACATACATATGAAAGAAATTATGTCAGGTAAATGTTGAATTATAAGACTGAAGAACAAATCCTTAAGTTCTTAAGGTAGAAAAAAACAAAAACAAAACAAACAAACACAAAACTGCTACCATATACAAAGTACAAAACATCAAACCGGAATAACAATGCTTCTATACAACTCTGAGAGCTAAAATATAATAAAGCATTATTTCAGAATTTCGAGGAAAGAGACAATATTCTAATAACTTTAAATCCAGAAATAATGTATTTTCTTTTTAAAGACATAGTAAAGAAATAGTTCAACATACAGGAGGCCAGAAAATATGTTACATGTACATACATGTCATTTTGAATATATATATATATATATATATGACTTGAAGATGGATATATACATATATGACTTGAAGATGGATACCTGTGAATTGAGAGAAATACAATTTAAGTGCTCAGACATTCTAGGGTTTTTTTTTGATTTTTGTTTTATTGAGACAGAGTTTGCTCTTGTTGCCCAGGCTGGAGTGCAATGGTACAATCTCGGCTCCCTGCAACCTCTGCCTCGCGGGTTCAAACGATTCTCCTGCCTCAGCCTTCCTAGTAGCTGGGATTATAGGTATGCATCACCATGCCCGGCTAATTTTGTATTTTTGGTACAGATGGTGTTTCACCATGTTGGCCAGGCTGGTCTCGAACTCCTGACCTCAGGTGATCTGCCCGCCTCGACCTCCCAAAGTGCTGGGATTACAAGTGTGAGCCACCACTCCTGGCCTCTATCTTCTTTAGTAATTAGTTCAATGCCATGTGTTAGGCAACAAAATACAAAAATGTTTATGAATAGATACAAAAATATTTTTTAATTTAATAGAAAATACTCATTTTTTAAAGGCAATATATGGATGGAAATAAAATCTCTGTAAATTCTAAGATTAAAACATATGAACAATCATATCTGACAGCAATTCATCAAAATTATAATTACTATTATCTACTTTTAAGTAATCAACATAAAAATACTGTCTATGAAAACTAATACACCGGGTGCAGTGGCTCACGCCTGTAATCCCAGCACTTTGAGAGGCCAAGGCGGGTGAATCACCTGAGGTCAGGAGTTCGAGACCAGTCTGGCCAACATGGTGAAACCAAGTCTCTGCTAAAAATACAAAAATTAGCCTAGCATGGTGGTGCGTGCCTGTAATCCCAGCTACTGGGGAGGCTGAGTCATGAGAATGGCTTGAACCCAGGAGGCAGAGGTTGCAGTGAGCTGAGATCTCGCCACTGCACTCCAACTTGGGTGACTGAGCAAGACACCGTCTCAAAAACAAACAAACAAAACCAAAAACACTGATGGTGTGATGCCACAATTACACTTAGAAAAAATTCACTGATTTATTTGTAAAATTTAATGGGAAAGTGGAAATCCTCATTGGAACAGATCCCTGAAAAATATATTTAATTAAATGTACACTAAAATATCTCAATAGATAAAAATCAATCAATAAATAAATTCACAGATGCTTATATCATAACCTCTTCAAAATACTTAGTATGCTTTATTCAATATTCTAGAGAATTATAAGAAACTGAATGCTACCTAATTCAGAATTCATAGGCACCTAAGCCTAAGACTGACTAACAAAAGGCCAAAGTTCAAGACTGATTATAAAAGTAAATATTCTAATAACATAACACCAAATCAGTATATAGTACTCACAAAATATAATCAACTAAGAACAAAAAAGTGTAGAATATTTATTAAATGTAACTTACATTAATGTAAAGGTAAAATAGAAGTATTTTTATAATTACGGAAATTTAGAAAATGTATCACTCACAGTTCTTTGAAACTTTACTGGAATTTATTCTCAGGAAGAAGAAAATGAGTTTAGGAGGAAATGAGATAGAAGATGCAAGGTGAATAGTAATTAGTACAACTTATTTTTAAAAACTGTCTAATGGCTGGAATTAAAAAATGACAATCTATAAGTAAAATTTCTGATTTGGAACAGAAATAGATATAAAAAAAAAGAAGAGGATTCTGTTGGCACCTTGATTTTTGACCCAGGGATACTGATTTTGGACTTCTGGACTCTAGAACTGCAACAGAATAAACCGTTATTGAGCATAAATTGTAAAAAGCCACTAAGTCTGTGGTGATTTGTTACAGCAGCCGCAGGAAACGAGTACAGAAATCAGTGAATACTTTTTTTTTCCTTATAAAAAGAAAAATCCATCCCCAAACTACATCAATACAATGAATCAAACAACATAGCCTCAAAAATATGTAAAGTAAAAATTAACAAAAACACAAGGGAAAATTGATAAGGACAAAATCAAAATAAGAAAATAGCAAGGTTTCTCTCTCAGAAAGTTCAGTTAACTTAAGAAAGTTACAATTTAAGATTTAATTCCCATGATGAAAAAGCCTACTCTATTAGAGGTACATAGAACCTTATACCCAGAAAAAAATCATTCGTTTCAATTACATATGGAACCATTTATAAAAATTGTCATGTAACTGACCACAAAGGAAGTCCAAACCAGATTTATATTTTGCAAATCACATTTCTAGTCACAATACAATTAAATCAGAAATTAACTTTGAAAGGTAATTGAAATACAACCTTACAATTAAAAAGTGTAAACACGATTCCAAATAATTTATGGGATAATTTTTCAAATGCAAACATTATGGAATATTTAAGATTTAATGCCAACCAAAGCATATATATTAAAACTTGTAAAAGATAAGCATAAAATCACCTATATGGGAATTTGTACTCTTAATACATTTAATTAAATGAAAGAAAGATTTAAAATGATTACTCTAGCATCTATATCAAGACACTATAAAAAAGAACAAAATGAAAAAATTAATTCAAATAAAATCGAAAGTAAGTACCATTAAGGTAAAATAAAGAACGTTAAATGTATATAAAAACAATATCAACAATACAAAAGACAGGTTTTTGAAAATACCTGAAATAGACAGAATGGAAACACTGATTGAGAAAAAATAACAAATAAATATATTACAGATGAAAATAGAATTAACTCTAATTGCAGTAAAGAGTAAAAGTGTATGTAATTCCATGAAAAGCTGTATGCCAATATATTTGAATTCAAAAATGAAATGACAATTTTCTAGAAAATAAAATTTTCTGCAATGATAAAGGAAGAAGAAATACTGGAAATACAAATATATATTTAAAGAATACAAATGTCTATCAAAAATACTTCACCCACAATTTTCTAAAAGTGACCAAGTGGATTTTATAGGGAAATTTTACAAAATTTTCAAGGAATAAACAATCGCTAACACAGACTATGTGAGAATAAAGGCTAAATAAGTCAGTCTACATGGTCCATTACATGAAGTCATTGGAAATATTAAAAGAAATTCAAACAATAAAATGTGACCTAGGAGAAATTATACTAGGAAGTCTACGATGGTTCAACTTATCACTGCAGTGATGGCTAAAAAGACAACAAACCAAGGGTAATAGTTTCAACAGACACAGAAAGTAAATATCGCATAAACTGCAACATCTACTCATAAAAATGGCCTTCCGATACAGTTACATGAAGAGAGACCTTTCATAATCTGAGTTAAATTTACCTAGTAAACATCCATACATATATTGTACTTCATGGCAGAGTTTGAGAAATACTTTCTATTTATCATTGTACTGAAGATCTTAGTCAGTGAAACCAAAGAAGAGAAAAAAATTGGAAAGAAAAATTAAAAATTGTTGTTTTAGGGCAGATATGATTTTGACATAGGAAATCCAAGAGAATCAATGATAAATACTGAATTAATAAGAGTTCATCAAGATTGTTAGGTATAAGATCAACCTAAAAATCATTAGCATTAAGAAAATGTAATAAACAGAATTATTTTTGTTATCTCATTGGGTTTTGGGTGCCAGTGTACTAGGCCAAACAGTGGCCTTCCCTGAGACTCTTCACTGAGAAATCTCTTGTATTGCAACCCTTTCAGTTTGAAAAAGGGTTAAAAAACTCTGAAACAGCACAGCTAAGTATATTTAATTAAAAAAAATAACTGACTTCTGAAATTCTACTTGATTCTTAAGAATTATTTTCGAAAAGATAATGGTAAATACCAGCTCAACAAACTTCATTGCATATCTCTTCCTAGAGTGCAATAATTATTTGTGACTACAATGCCTATTTCACATAGATGGAGAAAAGTTTACATTGTGGTCAGCTAAATACCATGATTGCCTTCAGAACAGTAAATAGTAGTTCATTTTTGGATGTCTCTTTGATCTAGTTTAGAGGCTGAACTGATGACTCATGCATATCTGGCCTTTCTTCTTTAGCAATGGTCCTTCAAATATCTCTGACTTTCTGTGATTGAAATCATCAAAGGCAATTGTTTATGGTATTTTAAAGTGCAGAGATATCAATGGATGGATAAGCAAGTGTATTTAATGTGGTGTGTTCTCAAGATGGCTTAGTAATGACTTTTGAAGATACTTTCCTGATGTGTAACTTTGTGATCATCAAACAACATTTAAACAGTGGAAATGCTGACATGACTATTTGCTATCTCAATAAGCAGATCTTACTCTATAATTATCAAGTGCTCTTTTTCTTGTCATATTAATGTAAAAGATAAATTTAAGGTTAGTCCTAGTAGCTTTCATTTATATGTACACAGTGTTTATAAAATCTTTGTGATATGTGCATGGTGTTTATAAAATCTTTGTGATGGATTTCACGAATGATAGGCAAAAACCTCTAAATGAAACTTACTGGCACATCAGTTACAATATTAATAATTTTCTATCAATAATGTTAAATAATAAAACTCATTTAAGTGGATATTTTCTTTCTTTGCTAGCAACAGTATCAGAGAAAAGTATCAAGGAAGGACTAGAACCTTGTCTGTCACTTGCTGTACCCCACCTATCTTCAAATCCAGTTGACTCCAAGTGAACTCTGCAAAATTCCCAGGTTCCTAAATGGGAAATAACTATTATTAATAATTAATGATTATAATTTTAACTTCTAGATATTTATTTATTTATTTTTTGAGACAGATTTTTGCTCTTGTTGCCCAGGCTGGAGTGCGATGGCGCGATCTCTACTCACTGCAACCTCCATCTCCTGGGTTCAAGCAATTCTCCCTCAGCCTCCCGAGTAGCTAGGACTACAGGTATGTGCCACCACGCCTGGCTAATTTTTGTATTTTTAGTAGAGACGGGGTTTCGCCATGTTGGCCAGGCTGGTCTTGAACTCCTGACCTCAGGTGATCCACCTGCTTCAGCCTCCCAAAGTGCTGGGATTACAGGCATGAGCTACCACGTCCGGTCTAACTTCTAGATATTTATATAGATAGATCAAGATACTCATGCATTTCACAGAATTTTTAAAAATTATGTCCATTGTACTATTTTGCATACTTCAATGCATGAAATATATATATGAAAATAAAAACTACATATATGATTCTGCTGTATTCTTTTTCTATTATATTGGAATATGTATATATGCTCTAATATATAATATATATTACATATATATAATCAGAATCTGATATATATATCAAAATCAAATCCAGTATAGATTATATACATAATCTATACCAACAAGCCACTAGAAATTTGGATGTATAAAACAACAGACACATTTAACACCTTGGGAGTCCAGGTGAGGTTTATTGAAGTCCTCTGCCAGGCTGCAATCAAAGTGTGGGCCTGAGCCGAGTTCTCAACTGGAGGCTTCACTGGGGAAAGCTGTGCTTCCAAACTCACTCAAGTGTTGCCAGAATTCAATTCCTTGTGACTGTAAGTTTGGGAACTCTAGCTCTTGTTGGGTGGAAGCTGGAAGCTGTCCTCAGCACCTAGTCGTAGGCCTGGGCTTCCTGCCACACGGGCCTCCTGACATGGTCACTTATTATACTTCTTCAAAGCCAGCAAGGGAGACAGTGTCTAGAGGCAGTCATCTAGCAAGATGGAGACTTACAACATGAGGCACATACAAGAGTGACCTCCCATCGTCTTTGAGGCATTCTATTTCTTGTAAGTATATCATAGATCCTGACGCTATTCAAGGTGTGGGGGGATACAGAAAACATAGATACCAAGAGGTAGGGATCATGCGGCCCTCATTAGAATGGGTCCATCACATCTGTTGAACTCAGTACTTGCTTCCATTTAAACCTGGTTGTCTTGGGATTAATTAGCAACAAGTCCAGTACTTCACATCCTATTGAGTAAAGCATGTCACATGTTAATCTCAAAGAGATAGGAACATGTATTCTCAAACAATGAATTAGAAAGTCATACATCCATGAGAATCCTACTACACAAAAGAAACAAATCACTGGGGAAAACAAGCTAGTCTATTGTAATTCACATGTATGTATGTAATGCATAAGGAAGTTTGATAATGCTTTTTTGGTAAGTAAATCATTGATATGGAAATAATTTTCAAATTATTAATTGTACATGGAATCTTTATTTTCAAAAACTAATGTATTTAAAGGTTTTGAAAAACTTTATCTTAATAACTATCTTTGAATTCATTGAAATACAGTGAGGTGCATCGTGAACAGATTTTTTTTTCAACTTAGGATGCAGTTAAATAAGTTATCTATAGCCTTCGTTGAGCTGTACCCTTTCACCCGTATTTCTTCTTCTTTTTTTTTTTTTTTTGAGACAGAGCCTCCCTCTGGAGCGAAGTGGCATAATCTCGGCTCACTGCAACCTCTGCCTCCCAGGTTCAAGCGATTCTCATGTCTCGGCCTCTTGAGTAACTGGGATTACAGGCAAGTGCCACCACACCCAGCTAATTTTTTGTATTTTTAGTAGAGATGGGGTTTCACCATGTTGGCCAGGCTGGTCTTGAACTCCTGAGCTCAGGCAGTCCACCCACCTCGGCCTCCCAAACTGCTAGGATTACAGGCATGAGCCACTGTGCCTGGCCACATTTCTTTTTATTTTATTTTATTTTATTTTTTTATTATACTTTAAGTTTTAGGGTACATGTGCACATTGTGCAGGTTAGTTACATATGTATACATGTGCCATGCTGGTGCACTGCACCCACTAACTCGTCATCTAGCATTAGGTATATCTCCCAATGCTATCCCTCCCCACTCCCCCCACCCCACCACAGTCCCCAGAGTGTGATATTCCTCTTCCTGTGTCCATGTGATCTCATTGTTCAATTCCCACCTATGAGTGAGAATATGCAGTGTTTGGTTTTTTGTTCTTGCGATAGTTTACTGAGAATGATGATTTCCAATTTCATCCATGTCCCTACAAAGGACATGAAACTCATCATTTTTTATGGCTGCATAGTATTCCATGGTGTATATGTGCCACATTTTCTTAATCCAGTCTATCATTGTTGGACATTTGGGTTGGTTCCAAGTCTTTGCTATTGTGAATAATGCCGCAATAAACATATGTGTGCATGTGTCTTTATAGCAGCATGATTTATAGTCATTTGGGTATATACCCAGTAATGGGATGGCTGGGTCAAATGGTATTTCTAGTTCTAGATCCCTGAGGAATCGCCACACTGACTTCCACAATGGTTGAACTAGTTTACAGTCCCACCAACAGTGTAAAAGTGTTCCTATTTCTCCACATCCTCTCCAGCACCTGTTGTTTCCTGACTTTTTAATGATTGCCATTCTAATTGGTGTGAGATGGTATCTCATAGTGGTTTTGATTTGCATTTCTCTGATGGCCAGTGATGATGAGCGTTTTTTCATGTGTTTTTTGGCTGCATAAATGTCTTCTTTTGAGAAGTGTCTGTTCATGACAAACCTGAGAAAAACAAGCAATGGGGAAAGGATTCCCTATTTAATAAATGGTGCTGGGAAAACTGGCTAGCCATATGTAGGAAGCTGAAACTGGATCCCTCCCTTACACCTTATACAAAAATCAATTCAAGATGGATTAAAGATTTAAACGTTAGACCTAAAACCATAAAAACCCTAGAAGAAAACCTAGGCATTACCATTCAGGACATAGGCATGGGCAAGGACTTCATGTCTAAAACACCAAAAGCAATGGCAACAAAAGACAAAATTGACAAATGGGATCTAATTAAACTAAAGAGCTTCTGCACAGCAAAAGAAACTACCATCAGAGTGAACAGGCAACCTACAAAATGGGAGAAAATTTTCGCAACCTACTCATCTGACAAAGGGCTAATATCCAGAATCTACAATGAACTCAAACAAATTTATAAGAAAACAACAAACAACCCCACATTTCTTGATATGTATAAAAGTAAATCATCCTTAAAGTATGCTGAATACTGACATTTTGGTCAATGATGGACCATATATATGACAGTTGTCCCATGAGATTATAATGGGGCTGAAAAATTCTTATGGCCTAGTGACAGCTCCATGATCTTGACCTAAGCTAAAGGGTGTTTTTGTGTCTTGGTTTAAAAAACAATTAAAAGTAAAACACGGTCAGGCATGGTGGCTCATGCCTGTAATCCCAGCATCGTGGGAGGCCAAGGTGGGCCAATCACGAGGTTAGGAGATGGAGACCATCCTAGCTAACAGGAAAAATTAGCCAGATGTGGTAGCATGCACCTGTAGTCCCAGCTACTCAAGAGGCTGAGGCAGGAGAATCGCTTGAACCTTGGAGGCAGAGGTTGCAGTGAGCCAAGATCGCGCCACTGCACTCCAGCCTGGGCTACAGAGCAAGACCCTGTCTCAAAAAAAAAAAAGTTGAAAACTTAAAAAAATTAAAGTTTATGGACAAGAAAAGTTATATGTTTAATTTATTATTGAAGAAAGAAAAATATTTTAAAAATAAATTTACTGTAGCTTAAATACATAGTATTTATGAAGTCTACAGTAGTGTTCAGTAATGTCCTTTGACCTTCATATTCACTTACTACTCATTCACTCACTCACTCACTCACTCAATGCTACTTCCAGTCCTGCAAGCTCCATTCATGTGAAGTGTCCTATAGAGGTGTATCATTATAAAATATTTTATGCTATATTTTTACTGTACTTTTTTATATTTAGATGTGTTTAAATACACAAATATTTAATTGTATTGCAACTACCTACAGTAATCAGTACAATAACATGCTGTACAGGTTTGTAGCCTCGGAGCAATAGGCTCTACCATATAATCTAGGTGTGTAGTAAGCTACACCATCTAGGTTTGTGTAAGTACATTCTGTGATGTTCACACAATGATTAAATTGTTAATGATGCATTTCTTAGAATATATCCTCATCATAAAGTGACACATGACGGTATTATGTTTAAAAACTTGACCTAAACTTGTTTAACTACATTAGAATATTTCAAAATGATACATATAAGTGAATAATTTACTATGTGATCAATTTTATATAAACTATGTAATGAAACATTATAGACTATGGAATGACTATAACAAAATATTGTACCTAGAACAATATTTTGGGTTGCCTGTTTCATGTGCATGTTTTCAATCACTTTCTTGGTGCACAGCAACCCTTTTCCCCTTTGGTAACTTCTCTGTGACCACTCAGTGAAGGTAGCCGTAGGGCCTAACTGATGAGGCTTGGGCTATAGGCTTCAATAAAATAACATCTAGTTTTTAAGAACTAGCCTGCATAGAAAAATACGTATTTTTCCTATTTTAAAAATAGACATATTTTAAATATTTTTTAAAATAGAATATTTTAAAAGATATCCAAATACCAAATATATTAATGCAGTTAGGTTTTACATGAGAGATGAGACCCACATAGCAGGCTTTTTTATTTTCAAAAAGTCACAAGTAAATAATCTGTCTAATCCTCTATTAATTCTAGATATTAATAGTTCAATATAATCTATTAATTCCAATATTACTTTGAATACATCTTTCAATGTCATCCTTTAGCTTTACCACAGATTCAGACATCTTTTGGAATTATTTCTGGCTATGGGACATCAGGCCAAATAGGTTTGTATGTAACTCCACAAGAGATAATATACTTAAAAAACTCTGGGTCTGAGAGCTAATGAAAGGAATGATACTAAATGACTGCCTAGAGTTATCAGTTTGAGTATCAATGCTCTCTGTTCCTTTGATCTCTTCTTTTCCATGTTTTATTCTTAACTGACCTAGAAAGGAAAAAAGAGAAAAAAATAAAAGGTGTGTCTATTTGGGTTAGAGGATTGGTGAGTCATCTCTATGGGTTCAGCCAGCGTAACTGCCTTTTAAACAAATTTTTTTAAGAGTTATGGGGGTCGGCCAGGCGCGGTGGCTCACGCCTGTAATCCCAGCACTTTGGGAGGCCAAGGCGGGTGGATCACGAGGTCAGGAGATCGGTGCCATTCTGGCTAACACGGTGAAACCCCGTCTCTGCTAAAAATACAAATAGCTGGGCGTGGTGGCGGGCGCCTGTGGTCCCAGCAACTCGGGAGGCTGAGGCAGGAGAATGGCGTCAACCCGGGAGGCGGAGCTTGCAGTGAGCCGAAATCGCGCCACTGCACTCCAGCCTGGGCGATAGCGCGAGACTCCGTCTCAAAGAAAAAAAAACAAAAAAAAAAGAGAGAGAGAGAGAGTGAGAGAGGGGAGTCAGCCCCGTCACCCAGGCTGGATGAGGTGTAGTGACGTGAGCATAACTCACAGCAACCTCAAAAACTCCAGGGTTCAAGAGATCCTCCTGCCTCAGCCTTCCAAGTAGCTGGGATTACAGGTACAAACCGCCGCGCCTGGCTTTTATAAACTATTTTATAAACAAATGTTCTTCTCTAGTTCTAGACGATTTCTTAGTTAATTCACTCTTTTAAAAAAAATATACACTTGTTTTTGTTCTATGCTTAAAATGGTTGCGTTAAAACATCTTAAAAATAGGTAAAAAATTATCCCAAATCCCACCTTCAGTGATAACTACTATTTCCCCTGTAACAATAGTAAAGAGCCTTTATTTTTGTTTGCCTGATATTCATTCGCTCTTTTGCTAAGGATGGTGTAGGTTTTTTGTTCTTTGTCTTTCTATACATTGGCGAAATTAATCCAATAGATAGCTGCACTAGTTTTTCCGTTTTATTGTCCATACACCTGCACCATTCTTTATGTTACAATTGTTATATGTAATACATCTACTTATAAACTCCACAAGACAATGTAGAGTTTATATTATACAAGGCAATATATTTTAGTTTCAAGCAATGGTTTACAATATAATTAAGAAAAATCACCTCCCCAAACTAAAGATAGCCTTTTACATTTACCATTTCTGATTGTTTTTCTCCCTGATGATCAGTTTCCATTTAATATAATTTTCATTCAGCTGGAAGAATATCTTTCACACTTCTTGATCTGTAAGTCTACTGACAATAAATTCTCTTAGGTTTTCTTTTAGTTAAAAATGTCTTATTTTGTTTTCATTCTTGAATATTTTCACTGAATATAGAAATCTAATTAAACAGTTTTGGTATTTTCCCTCACAACTCAAAGATTTTATTCGTGTTCTTCCGGCCTCTGTGGTTTATTATAAGAGGTAAGCCTTTAATTGGATAGCTGTTTCCCTATAGGTAATGTGCTGTCTTTCTCTTGTTGATTTCAATATTTGGTGTTTATCTTTGGCCTTCAACAGCTTTACTCAGTGTGTGCCCGTGTAGGTTTCTTTGATGTTTATTTTGCTTATTCTTTGTTTAGAATATTGTACCTGAAAACTTCAGATATTTTCAACGACTGTTTCTTTGAGTATATCTTTTTCTTCTTCATTAAATATCTTCTGTCTTCTAATGTAACCGTCATACGTATGTTTGACTATATGAATATTATCTGACACATCTGTGAGGTGATATTTATCTTGGTTTGTTTTCCTCTCTGTTTTTGACCTTGAATCATTTTAATTTTTCTGTCTTTAAGTTCACACACTGTTTCTTTTGTCATATCTTTGACAAAGTTAATTCGGTAGATTTTTTATTTCAAAAAATGTTCTTTTTTATTATGAGAATTTCCATTTAGTTTTTCTTCTTATTTCTGTTTCTGTGACGTGGTATTTTGTTTTATTTTTTCTCCTTGGATAGTTATTAATAGCTCATTTAAACTTGTTGCAACATGTGACTCATCTTGGGTTGGACTCAATTTCTTATTTCTTGAGGATATGTTCTGTTTTCTTAGTACTTCTCATATTGGATAACTTTGGATTATGTCCCTTATATTATGAATACTGTGTTCAGAGGATACTGGATTCCATTATTATTATGTGATAAGCATTTTTCCTTTTGTTTTACAAAGTCATTTTTAATGCCTAGAATTCAACTGCTTTCAGAATCATTCATCTGGCTCTTTCTCTATGGAGATTTGTGTTGTCTTTTCAGTTTTCCTGGTTTCTTGGCTTCTCTTATCTTCTTCACCAGATCAGGAAGACTGGAGCATTTCCATGCATGCCCTTGTCTCTCCTGAGTGCTCTGTGGACTGCACCTAGCTACAAGGTAAAATTGCAAATTGAGAAACTCAGTTTCTTATCTACCTTCCTCCAAGTAGCTTCCACTCCACCACATTCTACCTGCTTATGGCCGGGTGTGGTGGCTCACACCTGTAATCCTAGCATTCTGGGAGGCCGAGGCAGGCAGATCACCTGAGGTCAGGAGTTCAAGACCAGATTGGCCAATATGGCGAAGCCCTGTCTGTACTAAAAATACAAAAAATTAGCTGGGCGTGGTGGGGTCCACCTGTAATCCCAGCTACTCGGGAGGCTGAGGTAGGAGAACCGCTTGAACCTGCGAGGCAGAGGTTGCAGCAAGTCAAGATTGTGCCACTGCACTGCAGCCTGGGAGACAGAGTGAGACTCCATCTCAAAAAATAAAATAAAATAATTCAGTACCTTCAGAATTGTAACAAAAAAAATTGTTTTCTTGTTTGAACCGCTAAGATTCTGTTCTACACATGTGTAGTTCAGATATATATGAGTCAGTGAAGTGGGGAGGCAGAATTTGGGGATTTGTTTCCAGTACTTTCCCTTCTGGGATTTCCCATTCTTTTCAGTATTTATAGCTTCCAGGCTTATTTTTTCTAGTTTTCCAGCTAGATATATTTTGGAGTTTTCCAGGTACATTCCCTGAGCTGTCACTTGCCCAAAAGACCGAACCTAGCCCCTCAAACATGGGAATTATTTGTACAACTCCTGTCTCCCCTTATAGCATAGATTGTCTGTAAGAATATATTTGCTTCTGTTCAGTATTTTGTACCTTTACGTAGTTTTTTTTTTTTTTTGGTCCAGGTTTCATAGTTATTGTCTGCAGAGAGGTTCCCCCAGTAGAGTCTAAGTCCAGTATACTGAGATGTGAAAAAAGTCTCGTGATTTTTACATGAAATTTGCTTACTATTCATTCACTCTGAATTTTTTCTTCTATTATGTCTTTGATAATTTCCTTTTCTCCATTTTGTAATCCCCTATTTCTGAACTTATTAGAGATTCGTTTTTCTTCACTTAATATTCTATGGCTTCTCTTTTCACTCAAAAAACTTTCTGAAGTTTATTTTTCCAAATTTTCTTGTCTAATTTTAGTCAGTTTTTCTATTTTTGTTAATCATTGTATTTATTGCTACAGGATATCTATGTTTTAAATTGAAGCAGCAAAAGAACTGAGTGGGATATTTGTAAGCCTGGGCCAGTGGGTGACTTTTATTTAGAGAGCAGATGGGGACCCAGTGGCAAATATGTCTAATGCACAACAACTACTACAGTTCTGTTTAGTTTGTTCAACAGCTTCAGAAAAGAGCTTTCTAATTTTCTGTATGAGAGTGAGCTTTATTTGAATTCTGTTCATTAGGGTAGGTGGGTAAGGATTGTCATAGGAGAGGAAGGGTGAATTCTTCTTAAACAGACCTTTCGTTATCTTATTTCCAACCTTATTTCTCACTCTGCTTTTTTGTTTTTTTCTATTGATTCAAGGGTGGAGCTTCCCCAGGATTCTTTGCGTGTTATCTCCTTTTTTCACACAGCCCTCCCTATTTATGGTTTCTTCTATTTCATTCATCTTTTATTTATCTCCCTTCAGAGACTGCAGTGCTCTAGCTGGGCAAGTCTGGTGTGGGGAGGGCAACTTTCTTCAGGGAGGCCTTACAATTAAAATCTTTTAATTGCCTGTGGTGAGGCCTCAAAAATGACACGTAGGTTTTTAAGCAGAAACTGTACTCCTCAATATCCATTTTCTATAATCACGCAATATACTGCACTGTTATTACTCTAAAGTTATATTTTATATAGATCAAGAATAAGAATAAAATACTTTATTTTAGCTTCACTTATTCTTTCTCTGATACTCTTACTTTATTTGCATTTATTTTAGCTTCAACTATTCCTTCTCTGATACTCTTCCTTTATTTGCATAGCTATGACCTTCTGACTTGTAGAGTTTTCATTCTTCTTGAAGAATTTCTTACAGGGAAGTTCTGCTGATAATAAATTCCACTAGGTGTTGTTCATCTGAGAAAATCTTTATTTCTTAATTATTTTAAATGATAATTTTACTGGCTATAGAATTTTAGGCTATTGAATATTTTTCTCTGAATACCTTAAATGTGTTACCTCCCTCCTTTCTTCTTTGCATGATTTCTGAGAAGTCTGCTTTACTTTTTTTCCTCATTCATCTTGTCTTAGCCAATTAGGGCTGCTATAACAGAATACCATATACCATGTTGCTTATAAACAACAAAAAATTATTTTTCACAGTTTTGGAGCCGGGGAGTCAAAGATCAGGGTGCCAACATGGTAGGGTTCTGGTGGGGGTTTTCTTCTGGGTTACAAACTGGCAACTTCTTACTTTGTTCTCACATGGTGGGAGGGGCTAGCTAGCTTTCTGAGGCCTTTACTGACTAACCACCTGCCAAAGGCCCCTCCCCCTGGTATCATCAACTTGTTTTTAAGATTTCAATATATGAATTTGGGAGGAACATAAACATTCAGACCATAAGACCTCTATAGATAATGTAGTCTTTTCCCTGGCTTCTTTCAAGCTATTCTATTTGTTTTTGATTTTCTACAATTTGAATATGATATGCTTAAGTATAGATTATTCTGCTGGTTGTACTCTGATTTTTCTAGATTTGTGGTTTGGTGTCTGTGAGAAATTCAGTAATTTTGGAAAATTCTTGACCATTATTACTTCAAATATTTCTTCTGCCTCTCCTGTCTTTTCTCTCCTTATGGTATTCCAATTATACATATGTTGCATCTTTTGAAATTGTCCTACAATTTTTGTATGTAAACTTCTGGGGTTTTAATTTTTTTTCTCTTTGCATTTCAGTTTGTGAAATTTCTATTGACCTATCTTCAAGCTCACTGGTTCTTTCCTTAGCTGTGCAAAGTTTACTGCTGAGCTCATCAATGACATTTTTTATTTCTTTTTGTAGTGTTTTTAATTTCTAGAATTTCCTTTTGATTCTCAGTGTGTCTATATTTCAACTATATTGTGCATATGTTTATGCATGTTGTTCGTTTTTCCCAATAGAGCCTTTAATATATTAATCATAGTTATTTTAAATTCCTTGTATGATAATTTCAAAATATGTTTCAAATGTAAGTCTGGTTCTGATGCTTGGTTTGTCTCTTCAGTATGTGCTTTTTAAAGTTCCTTTAGCATGCTTTGTAATCAATCTTTTTTTGAAGCAAAAATGGGGTGTCAGGTGATAGAAATGAGGCTTTAGTGTGATTGTTGTATGTTTATCTGGCTACGAATTGGGTTTTTTAATGTTTCCTGTAGCTGTAGATGGTGGAGACATCAGATGCCTCTAGTTTCCTTGTTGTTACACTTGTTATCTTTGGCTTTCCTGAGTACTCCTACTTAAATAAAGTCTATATATTGAAGCTATTTCCACCACAATGCACTGCTGTTATATTGTGTGGGGAATGGGAAGCATTCTATAATCTCATAATCAAATCTCAGTCTTTTAGTGAATCCATATCCCTGAGCAATAATCTTAACTAACACTTTTTAGCTCCCATCTCCCTTACACAAGACAGAAAGAATAGAGGGGACTAGAGTTACAGAAGTGTATTTCCTCCAGTGGAATATGGTTTGGGTAAAGATTTTTCTCCTTGGAGAGACAGTTTTTGTTATGGAGAATGCTCTGGACATATTTCACATAGTTACTCTTTTTTTTTCCCCTGCGAGGGTCAGTAAGAAAAATTTTATTGGCTGTTTTCTGCAGAATTTTTGGTGAGTTTCTAGAGGTGTAAACCATGAAATAGCATAGGCCCCTGCTAAGATTTCAGGCCCCTAGAATTTCTGACTCTCAACCTAATCCACACTTGGTCTGTAGCAATGGATAAAAATTACCACTTAATGGTTTTCACCAGTTTTTGAATCCAGCAATTTTTTTTCAGGTAGGCATATCTCGGCTGATGTATTTACTTCATTTGTCTCTCTTAATTTTGGAGTGGCAGTTTTTCTAATTACCTTTATTCTCTGATGAACCTAAGAAAAGTTGCTGATTTTCAGTTTTTACAGCTTTTTTTTGTTGTTGTAAGGACAAGGGTGATGACTTCCAAGTATTTCACACTTCAGAGCGTTTTAGCTGAAATCATAGTCATTCTTTTTTCTCCTCTAATTCTGAAACTCCAGTGATTTGCTAGATAGGCTATTTGCTATTGTTCCACAGAACATGGGAACAATATGCTTTCATTTCACTTTTATGTTTACGTTTTTATTTTGTTTTCTACTTTGTATTTTTATTTCACTTTTTTCTCCTTTTATATTAGTTTGTATATTTTCTATTGTCCTACTTTTAAGTTCACTGATTCTTTCCCTCTGTCTACCCTATTCATAGGCCTCTAAAAAATTCTTTATCTTTAATATTTTATTTTTCATTTCTCACATTTCTATTTGACTTTTTTATTTTATATAGTTTTCATCTCTTGGTGAACTTTCCTATCTTGTCATAAACATTGCTCCTATATAAGTTTAGTGTGAAAGTTATCTGAAATTAAACACATAGCCAAACAGGATTATTAACTTTTGTTAGAAGCACATATACTAGTAATTTATTTCTTTATAAAAATAATATAACCAAGACTTAGTCTATCAATGGTTAATTTACCAGTAAGATTTTGTTTGAATCTAAATAATAATTATAAAGAAAATCAACATTACGCTTTACTGGTAAAACTGGATAGAAGCCATTTTATGAAGGCTTTGGATAGGCAAAAATTATTTATGTATTTGTGCTAACATTTTCCAGGGAAAACTTGGTCATTTCCACTCAGTAGAGACAGATTTTTATAGGAAAAGAAATTGTAAAAATATTCTGCCTTTGGGGCAATTGTAAAAATGTTTTAATGTGCCTCAGCTGGAAATTTCTGTGTTTTGCCAAATTAAATGATCATTTTCTCCCTGCAAAAAGTGTCTTTCATGTTGGAAAGGATTTGAGAATAGAGTGTATTTGAAAACTATGTAAACCATTTTTGAATTTTCACTGTTTGGCATGAAAATGCTGATTTTTCATCTTAGCTTTAGCTATCAATGTGAGGATTCCTTTCAATAAAAAAAGGTGAAAAAAATTACCCACCTTAAGTTGCAGGAATAACAATATACTTTAATTTGCAGTAGAAAATGGGTGGTTGATTATACCTCTTCCCTGAAAAATTTTGAAGAACTTTAAAGAAAGTTTTACTTTTGTTCTTCCTCCAGTGGAATAAAAACAAAACAAAACAGTGTTTCTGTAATACTGTTTGTTGAAGATTTAATAATTAGACTTCAATTATGATTTATTTTCTATTTAACCAAATAAAAGCAGACTCACTAAGTGTCAAGTGGGTTTACAGTTGGTTGAATTTCTTTTTAGATTTTTTCTGATTTATTCTAAACTTAATAACCTAATACCTTAATATCACAAAACTATATTTTTTCTGATACTGTTATAATCTGATAATAGATTTTTAAAGTTGTCAAATATTATATCCTGCTCTCATTTAAATACTTTTCAGTGACATATACACTGTAATTGAAGGTGGTCATTTCTTCTCAGTAGAGACAGATTTTTACAGTTAAAAAAAGAGAAAGAAATACTGACTTCAATAAAGGGAATCACTGCATTACTTGAGTCTTAATAGTGTCTCTAAAGATGGAGGGCAAAGGCAGAAATTTCATAAAGTTGGGGGATCTGGTGTAAGTGGACTTTTCAGCATGTAAGTTGGATTGTGATTAGGTAAGGCTGATGCGCTAACAATGGAGGGTGGTGGACACAGAGATGTAAGGATTCTGAAGTGAATAATTCAAAAGTCGGTATTGGAAAGTAAGCAGCAAGCTTTTTAAAAGAAGTTTCTCTTATCCATACCAAAGAAGGGTATGCAAAAAACTAAGAGCTTTATTACAAATTAAATCAGGATAGCTCATAAATTTCACAATCAATAATTTTTTAAACAAAGGAATCTATTGCCCACCACGAAGGGATTTTTAAAAATCTAGCAGTAAGGTAAAAATGTAATTTACATTTTCACTCTTTTTTACATTTCAAATATATCTTTATTTATCATGCAGTTAATATCACACTAATCAAAATTTGTGGTTTTTATCAAAATATTTACAAAGGTAATGAGATACTTATTCATGGCTCTTAATGAAAGAGACAAAATACCTTTTTGTTCATGTATGACTTTACCTTGTATTTTGATTTAACAGCAGCAAATCCATTATTCTGAAAACCTAACTAGTTAAATTGTTTTTATGTCATTTACTGACTTTATGCTTCTGGATAAAGAAGGAAAAAAGAGAACTCAAAACTGGTAAAAATAATATAGCTTCTTAGCCTTCAGGGGGAAATTCTTTATTAAGATACACTTTAAATGCACTTCTGATAAGCTTCTTTCACAAACAGGAAGTCCATATAGAAAATAGGCATGCTCATTTGCAGCTTTAATCATAACACTTGTATTAATAGCATAAAAGGAAACCTCCAACACTTACTTTTAAAGGTTTTATTTTAGGCTTCTTATATTAATAAGGAATGGGGACACTGATAGCTCAAATTTTTCATGTTTAAAGGCTCATTTGCAAAAAAACAAAGTAAATGGGAGAAAAATAATTTATGCAAGCACTGCTAATCCAGCTGTTTTGCTTCTGGGCTTAATTGGATTTACCTAGCATTGATATTTGGTGTCAGCATGTGTTATATCATCAACACAAGCAATAGTTACCCAACATAAATGAGGCAATGAAGAGAAGTGAACGCCAAGATTACAAACCTCAAACCAAAGACAAAATATTATTTTATTTGACTCAATCTTAGCATAATTACTTTTTAGCCATGTGTGTTATAGACTTCCTGTATCAGCTTGATGCTGCTATCTTCTACATTTCTGTCCTTTATATCTATCTGCTAAATATAGGCAGTGAAGAAAACTAGTGTTCGATAAAATGACTTTAATAATGGTTACACATATCTTCTGCCTGGCCAAGTACTCCTATTAACTGTAAAAATGCATGCATTGTCTCTAAAGGTAGGAATGTGACACCTGAATTTCAAAGGCAGGTATACGTCATCGGTAACCAGGTCTTTGCTATTTACATGTAGAAAAATGAACTTAACCTTTAAAATTAAGCAATAAACAGCATGTTTAAGAAATAATTTGCAAATATATTTACTTACATATGTATATCTATTATTCCGTTCATCTGTGAGAATATTAAATGTCTTCAAGTGAATATCAGGAATATTTTATTTAGAAAATACATGTAAGAAAGATTACTATTACTTAAAGAAAAATATTTTAATAGAAATGTTTATGAATATATATGTATTTACTGTATGTATTCATCTCATATATGTATGTGTCAACCTGAAATATATTTTGTATATAAATACATATTCATATTACACATCTAAATGCATTCTACATATTTTGCCACATACCTCATACTCTTTCATCATTCCTTGCCCTATCTACCTTGTTTGAACACATAACCCATCCTTTATGTTAATACTCCTCATCTTCCTTTCCTATCCTAGTTTTCCTTTTTTTATTGCAGTTATCATCTCATGTGCTAAATAATGCATTGGTTTATTATATCTGTTGTTTACTGAGTACTGTCTATTTTGCTCTACTCTAAGATAAACTTCATGAGAGAGAGGATCTTCCTTTGATTCACGAAAATACCCCAGTTTTCTATAATAAAGCATGACATGAGTATTATAGGTGCTCAGTGACTGAATGAATGACTGGATATGTTACAAACATTATGTGTGTGTACATGTTTATATACGTCTGTGTATGTGAGGATATACACACACTCAGATATGTGTGTATTTAGACTTCTAAATCATAATTTTCCTATGACTTTTTCCTAATTTTCCTTCTTCTGGTGTTTAAGCCATCCTTCTCTTCTGTGTCATTTATGGAATACATAAGCTTAGAAGTTTAATTCAAAAGGTCCAGCATAGTTTCCTAATATTCTGACTTCAGAGTTACTTCAGAGTTCTAAGATATATAGTTTATCAAGCAAAATGATTAAAAAATAGTCTTTTTTATTTTCTCAGCTTTTGGATTGCTATCATAGTGCTCTGAGCTTGGTTGACCAGTATTTCTTCCAAGTCAAATCAAAGGGAAATTACTCTTGAGCTAAATGAAACAATCTGGATTGTATCCAATAGCATCTCCCAGTGAAATGGTCACTCTAGCTCAGCAGGATCCTCTGAGCCAATATAATTCAGATGAGTTTGAGTGAAATGCAAACATTATCATTCTGTATCAAATTAGGAAGGTATTATACACTATCATGTAAGTTGGCAAATCTAAGGTCCAAAAGACTCAGCTTCAAATATTTTTATCAACACTGGCCATGAAGTTGGGCTGCCAAAATTCAGTGAGCCGTGCAGGTGAATTTAACAGTATTGTGAATTGTATTATAAAAAATTAAATCTTTGTTCATTCAGGTCTCTGCCCAAAATGTCCCTCCTCAGTGATATATAACTAGTATCCTCTTCATGCACTTTTATATTGCCTGTTATAATTTATATTCATTTTGCCTATTTGATTTCTATCTGTTCTATTCACTAGAATATAAGCTCTGTGAAGGCAAGAACTTTGCATGCTTTGTTCATTCCTGACTGTCCAGTGTTCAGAAAAATATTCCTGATAAAGTGTAGGTGCTCATGTCATAGTTATTAAATCAATGAATGAATAAAAATAAGTAGCATGAGGAAGAAGATGTGCCTTCTAAAGAGCATTTTATTGGCCCCCAAGACTCTTCTGCATATGCACTCCAAAGGATACATAAAGAGCCCTGGCACTGAGCTTTTAAAATAATAATTCCCTTTTCTGAAAAGCATTTATAATATTTCCTAGAAACCACTCTGAAACGAGAAAGAATTCACATTTATCGCAAGTCAAGTGTGAGATAATTCAACACCTATGATTTCATAACTACATGCTTAGTCCTTAGAAATGGCCTGATTTTTGAGATATTTTGCTTTGGAGACACAAGGTTGAGTTTTAATATGAAAACCAAAAAAATAAAAAAAATAAATATGTTCCTGAGAAAATAAATGAGTGGAGAAGATTGCAAAAGATGCAGACCTTTGGTTGTGGGGCGAGAAAAGATCAAGGTTTCTATTTTAGACAAGTTAAGGTTAAGATGTCCCTTAGGGGTTCAAAAAGATATGTTGAGAATATATGGATATTTAAGCCTGGAGTTAGGAAGTTATCACCATATAGTTATTTAAAGCCATAAAAAGGAAGTGAATGTAGATAGAAAGAAGAGGTCTAAACATTGACCTCTGAGATACTCCTACATTAGGCAATTGGGGTAATTGCATTTACCAAGTAAGAATAGTTATAGGATTTACCAATAGGAATACTAAGAAGCAGTAGTAAGAGAAGTAGAAGGAAAAACAGGCAGCTGTGGTGTTCTGACCATCAAATATAGACGAATATTTGAAATGTTGGGATTGAAATGCTGGAATCTATATTGTTTTTAATGAGTTTTGAAAATATTCTATAAGTCAGTTTTAGATCTATTTATTTTTCATCATAAAAATGGCAAGCACATGACGGAAGTATTTGAAAGGACAAGAGAAATTAATTCATACTCAAACTCAGTAAAACAAGAGCAGAGATTTTCTGGACTACCTAAAAGCTACTAATTATTTAAGTCCTTTTGGTCATTTTCTTTTCATGCATGTTCTTAAATACTGAACTAATATTATGTGTAAAATTTTTATCAAGCTTATTCATTATGTTAAATCATAAGCATTTTAAACATTATTTCCTATTTACTACTGTTTAAAAAAATAAAGCAATAATAATCCACAAGGGGTTGAACTATATTTCTTAACTTCTTATTGGTTAGAATTTATCTTTCAAACAAAAAATATTTTTGATAACCAGTTGTGCCAGGTACAACAGAAGGAAAATAGTCCAGAGAAAAACATGTACAAGTAAACAATTTGTTCAAATACCAGATTTAGAACTTGTTGGTCTTTATTATATATCAGATATTGTTCTGAGAGATTTTCATTTATTATCATATTTAATCATTACCAAACCTTATGAGATGGATGTTATTAAGAGGATAAGTATGTGCACAAGTATGAAAGAGCTTTAGGTTATTAAAACAGTTACACAGTTCTGGAAACTTAAGAGGGGCTGGTTCTTGACAAGGGGGTTGCTGTCAACAGACTCCCTGGAGAGGGTAGCCAGGGTTGCCTGAACAAAAAGATGAGGCCAGTTAATACAGTGCCCATGTGTTATCTCAAAGAGATCCTGAAGATAATGGAAGGCCTTCTAGAGCCTTTAGAAACTGCAATGGCATGATAGATTTATGATTTAGAAAAGCTACTCCATAAATGAGGCTAAAGCCACACAGGCTGGGAAGAAGGTGATAGTCATGAAGCATGAAGCAGGCCTGAGAGAAATATTATTTTTCTTTGCTTAGGAATATTTCTCAGAAGCAAAATATTGGGTTAAAAACTAAATATTGGAATGGAGCATGATAAATAAAAGATTTGGTAAGCCCTGAGTGCATATAAATGGCTTTATTTTGATAGTTTTTAGTTTATTTTTTCCATTATTGGTATCACCTGGCCAAGCTAAGAGTAATTGCCATTCTTTTCTCTTTATGTTTGATTTTAACAGTTTGAGTCCAGGTGTGTGGGTGTTTGTTAAATTCCCATTCTAAATAATTTCCTAAATTTTGACTCAAATTATTATTGCTATTTTCATTACTATTGTTATTATTATTACTATCATTATTATTTGTGAGGTCCTAGCTTTTCGTCATCTCATACATGGGTGCACTTCCATATGAATTAAGCAATAATGCATATTTTCTTTTAGAAAATGTATCATTTTCATTGCCAGTTTTCCACAATATAGCCTTAAAGTACTCATTGATCCCTTCATGTGTATCATTCTTACTCTTCTCTATTTCTTTGTGAGGTTTAAGTTTCCCCTTTGTTGTCATTCTCCTTCTGCTTGAAGAACTTTCCTTTAGTATTACTTGGCACGACAAATCGGCTGAGAATGAATTCCCTCAGCTTTTCTTTCCTTCCTTCCTTCCTTCCTTCCTTCCTTCCTTCCTTCTCTTTCTTTCTTTCTTTCTCTTTCCTTCTTTCCTTCCTTCCTTCCTTCCTTCCTTCCTTCCTTCCTTCCTTCCTTCCTTCCTTCCTTCCTTCCTTCCTTCTTTTTTGTCTGAGAAAGTATTCGGCTCAAGTTTTGGAAGATATTGTCACTGGTTGTGAAATTTCATTGACAAGTTCTTCTTTTTCTCTCTTAGTCTGTTAAAATGATCACTCCGATATGTTCTGGGTTTGTGTAGTTGCTGAGGAAATGTCTGCTATAATCCTTATCTTCATTCCCCTGTATAGAATGCTTCTTTTTTCTCTGCCTTCAAGATTTTCTCTTTATCTTTGGTTTTCATAGTTTAACTATGATGTGTGTAGGTGTGTCTTTGTTTTGTTTTTATTCCACTTGAGGCTTTCCAAGGGTTTTAGAGGTATGATTTAATGTTTTGATTCTTTTTGTAAAATTCTCAACTACTACTTCCTCATTTTTTTTTCTGATACATTCTCTCTCTCTTTCCTTCTTGTGGGACTCCAATTTCATGTAAATTATACCGTTCGATATTGTGCTGTTGCTCTTTGATTTTGGTGGTTTTTTTAAAAAAAAACACTTATTTTAACTCTGTATTTCAATTTCAATTTGAATTTCAATTCAAAAAATTAAATAATTTTTATTTACCTAATTTCAGACTCACTGAATCTTTCCTCATCTGTGTACATTCTATTTATGAACCTCCTAAGGATTTACTTTTTTATGTATGATTTTTTAAAATGGTTTGTTTTGGGTTTTGTTGTTGTGGTTTTTTTTTTTTTTAACTTACAGCATTTCCATTGTACTCTTTCTGTATACCTGTGCTAAATTTTCCCATTTGCCCATTCATATTGTCCATCTTTTCCACCAGGTGTCAAAATATTTAATCAATTATCTTAAAGCCTCTGTCAGTTAATTCCAATATATGAGTCATCTATCCTTATGTTGCTCACTTTTTTCTTGATTTTTTTTCTGTGTATATCTCATAATTGTTTATTGAATATCAGATATCATGCATAGAAGAATAGTAGAAATGCAGGAAGATAATATTTATACCTAGCAATGATTGTACCTCCTCTTTTGTTCTTCAGTTAGAATGTAGGGTTTGGCCAATCTAATCAGGAGTTTATGTGGTTTGGAGTTTTTGTTGCTATGATTATCTTCAATGAACTATAGACTTCAAGCTCCTCAAGCTACTCAGGATAGAGTCAGGATAGAGTCTCCTAGGTTTTTCTGAGAGTCCGTTTGTTTTTTCCCCATTCATTGTTAGTCAACACTAAATACTTGCACCACAGAGTATAGTCTCCCTCCAGGTTCTTGCCACTTTCCCAGTGATAGAATACCATACCAGGGACTTGGTGCTTGGCTAGTGGTAGAATTGGGAAAGTTCTTTGTTGTTCTGGTACAACCTCAATGTTAGGCAGGACCAATGTGTCTGGGCATCAGGAGTGATACATTTTTACTGTTTCCATACTTCCTCTTCATGGCATTTTGTGTATGTGGGGTGGGAGAGATAATTCTCCATCAGTCTCTTTCCTTCTGTACATCTGACCAGCAGACACACTGACAGCCTTTTTCTTCATTGGACTTTCTTTTCAAGAATATTTGTATAGTGAATATCTTTATAAGATAAAGATAGTGCCTTCCTCTGATGCCTGTCCTCTGCAGATTTGTTTGCTGTCTAATACAGCAACAATACTGTTTGCAGTATAATACAGACATATTTTTCTTCTGGGGCAAAAGTCAGGTAGATTTGTTTGTTGTCAATTATGAAAGATTGGAGCATCCTACATTAGGGCTCTTGTTCTGTAATGCAACTGACTGCATATGAAAGCATCATCTGACCCTCATCATCATGTCACCTTATGGGTAGTGGGGCTCAGGGTACTGGGGAAAGAAAACCATGACACTCTGACTACCACTATTGCAGTGAGTATTAAACTGCGTTCTGTCTCTGACCCAGCAGCCTCATGTCATTCTGCCAGCACTTAGAGAATTGTGTGAAACTAATGAGTTTTTAGCTTGTTAAGGTAGGGTAAAATCTCACACCCTTCATACTTCTTGAAAATCTTAGGTAGAAGTTCCCTGCCCCTCCATTAGTGGAATCAAGCCTCCACTTGAAATCTGTGTAGGATCCTGGGTCTCAGACTGTTTTGTATTTCTCCTCCCCAGGAATACAGGGTTCAACCTTTTCCCTAGTAGCAATGGAGTGTTGCCTGTGCCATAAGAGTTATCTTCTATCCAGAATCTAATTGAGTTTTCTTCTTCTCCTTTCTCATAGACTTAAACCATTTGCTTTATTTTTGTTTTAAAGTCTTCTACAAAGTGGACAGAGCCTTAACCCTCACAGATGCTAACAACTGCTTTATCAGTGCTCCTGAGAGGGAATTATTCTGGTCGCCCGCTCAGCCCTTAGTCTTTCTCCTAAGCAAATGGTAGAGACCCACGGATAAAGTCTTGCAACTTTCCTTGTGTCTAGGGCCCTTAGCAATCCCAAATGAACACATTAACCAATTCTCCTCAGCCTTTAAGTGTTCATTAAATTTTTTGCTTTTTCATTTTGTACCAATTTCTATGGTGGTCATCCTTTTTATATTCTCACTAAGCAATTTCTGACACAGTTCTTGTGTCCTGCCTCTCTTTGGATGTGATGATTCACCTTTAGAATTTGATTTACTTGTTTGCCTTTATGAACTAGACTTTTAATGAGTTTAAGACAAGTTATAGTCTTGTAGATAATGCCCATGGTCTGAATGGTTGTCTCCCCAAAATTCATATGTTGAAACCTAATCTCTAATGTGATAGTATTATAAGGCAGGTGATTGGGTCTTGAGGGTTCTGTCGTCATTAATGGGATTAATGCCCTTATAAAAAAAGACCTCAGAGAGCTAACTTGCCCCTTGTCATTTGGATAAAACTTCTAAGGTTCCTTAATTCCACTCTCTCATTTTAAAGATAAAGGAGCTATGCCTGTGGAAGGAAAAAATCAAATGGTCAAGTAAAAAAATCAAATGGCTGAAAGGCACTGTTGCCAGGAGAGTTACTTTCAATGTAACAGTACCTCTAAGGGGTTCAATTTTAGTTTGATCCAGCCTCTCTAGCCAGCTGTGTCTTTTCCACTGTATGAGGACACAGCAATAAATCACTATTCGCTAACCCAAAACTGGGCCCTTACCAGAACCTTACCTTGCTGGCACCTTGATCTTGGACTTCCAGCCCTCCCTGCTGTGAAAAATAAATACCTGTTGTTTATAAGCCACCCAGTTTTGTGTATTTTGTTATAGCAGCCTGAACAGACTAAGACAATAATCTAGCCTTTTCTCCCTGTTAGGTATAGAGCCACATTCTTTGCATGTTTCTAGTCACCTAGAGGATGAGTCTAGAGAAACGACATATTGTCTAATTCAATATTCAAATGGGATATTGTCCAGAGAAAAAAATATTGTTTAATTTGTTCACTTGACAAAGATTTCCCAAGTCTTACTCAAGACCAGGTTGTTATACTAAGCCATGTAGTGGGTACTGAAAGATGTACAAATCATGGTGGAAGAGTAATATTCATATCATTATCCAGGCTTCGGCTTGGAGGAATGCCAGCTTGGTTAGCCCATTGGCATGAATATTAACCCATTTGAGATCCAGCTACCTGGGCTCCAAGCTTTATCTTTAAGAACTCCCTACTAGTCTAGACCTTCCTTGTTCCTTCCTAGTTTATCAGATGAGTAACCACTCTCACATTACTGTTTTTCCTGTTGAAGGCACTGAAGGCTTCCTCTTTCTTCTCTTTTTCCTCACACACAGCTGGCTAGAGAGGCTGGATCAAACTAAAATTAAACCCCTTAGAGGTACCGGTACATTGAAAGTAACTCTCCTGGCAACAGTGCCTCTCAGCCATTTGATTTTTTTTCTTGACCGTTTGATTTTTTCTTTCCACAAGCGTAGCTCCTTTATCTTTAAAATGAGAGAGTGGAATTAAGGAACCTTCGAAGTTTTATCCAAATGACAATTTGTGACTCTTTCATTTTTCTTTTTTTGTCCTCATCAAGACAGATGAATTATATGATTGAGAGTTGGAAAGGAACATAGAAATAGATACACTAATCTTTTTGTCGTGAAAACGAGAAAATTCAGACTAAAGAAATTCAAATGATGTGCCCAAGGCTACACAGATGTAAAATGAAAACAAAAAATGAAGAACTAGATTTAAATCATCAGTGCTTGACCACAAGGAAGGCCTAGGAGAGGAGATAACTGCTTGGATTTGGATGAAACAAACTGTGTTCAAATCCTGGATCTATTGCTCAGTGATCTGTAAAACTTAAGCGCAGTGACAACTTCTCTAACATTCAATTTACCGTTTTGTGAAAAAGGAGTGACAGTGGCAAGATTTGTTTCCTAGGGCTGAGGTGGGCATTAAATGACACTGTTGTTGAAAGTACTCTCAATAAATAGACGAGCTTCTTTCGAACAGTACAATGCGCTTTATGATGTTGATGTATGGACTTTGATCAGTGGGAGAAATCGTCAAATCCGGGTTTCTTTGCCAAGTTTTGAATGGAAATACATTGCATTGTCTCACAGGCGTCTATGACACACAGGAAGGTCAGGAGTCCTTCGCAAATTTGGTTTATGCTATTATTCAGAATGGGTGAGTTTTAAAACTTTAATTAACCAAGTTAACCTATTTGTTTGCCAATGCGTGGAAGGTTGTATTGTTCTAACCACATTGCAACATTTTGGATAAAAGCGTAAATGTGGGTGTGGGAGGAAAAAAAAGAGAAACAGATTTGGATCAAAGCTACTGCGGAACAACTGCCACAGCACTCATTTTTTTCCCCCAAGGAATAGCTGTGGTAGAGAGCAGTGCCAGCTTGGAGTTTGCAACGTCTATTTTCTAGCCAACGCTATGATTTTTATTCCTGTTTATTGACCAAAAATTGCTTCATTTACTGAACCAACCACGTAGCGCAGCAGAGAGGCGGCTGTGGTTTCGCTGCCTGGGCCCTGAGCAATACCCACCTCTGTCCCATAGATGGCAGCATTTCACAAACAACGCCGCCACCGGGACGCATTGAGAACTCAGCTCCAGTAATCTGTTGACAGGATTAAGGACCCCTGTTGTTTTACAGGAAGTAAATAAATCCTTATGGTATTCTGGAAGGCTCAGAAGTATATGAGAGTGGTAGGAAATTGTTTATTCTATGGTAAAGGTATCAAATGAATATTTACAGCATTTAAAACAATTACCTCGGATTGATGTGGACTGGTGTTAAAACTCAGCCTGTTTGCATTATCTAGTTTAGAGTATTTGTTCAACTTTTGCCCAGTAGGTTTAGTTTTTCTGAGTACAGAATTTCTTGCTAGCATAAGTTGATGGTGAATGCTAAGGCTGATAAGATGGTGATAATTTCTCTTTAGAAATTAAAATGTTATCTATTTGTGCAAATCACTGTGTAAGAAAAACATAAACCACATGATACTGTAAACTCTAAGAACATGAAAAATAATGAAGAGAATAAAGGATGTAACAGTACAGGATGAATAGAAATATAGTAGGTGGGTTTAGGCAAAGGATTATCTTCAACTTTAAAATCCATTGAAATTGTCAATTTTAGACATGGAAAAGTTCTGTTATAAATCCAGACCATTGAATGGTTTCAGTATTCTTAAATACATTTCTGAGATATTTCAAAAACGACACAGGGCAATAATCTAAGTGAATCAGTGAGATTTACCCAGGGGTGGATTAAACAAGCCTACTCCTTAGATTTTCCACTGCCTTAGGGATGCACTATAATTTTCTATCCCTCATTTTTAGGCAACTTCCTTTACTCCATATGTTTCAAGAAGCTGATGATTTTTGAAAAGTACATTTGATTTGTGGTCATGACTCATTACCAAGTAAATAAATGATTATCATTTTGAGCTTCAACACACATTTTCTTTTTTAATTTATTTATTATTTATTATTTTTTAGAGACAGGATCTTACTATGCAGGGTCAAACAATCCTTCCACCTGGGTCTCCCAAAGTGCTGGGATTACAGGTATGAGCCACTGTGCCTGGCCCACAGCACACATTTCAGATATCCAATTAAAAAAATGATCAAGTGACAATCTCTAATAAAATGTCTGCTCTTTTATAATATGACTTGTCTGTAAAGACTTCACTAGACACTAAATTCAATTTTTCTTTTTAGATTCAAGTGTGAAGTCGAAATGTTGATAATTTATTCACAAGATAATGCCCTGTACAACTCTTATTTTTATGAAGGATAATTGGATAAATTAGCCTTAATAACCAATGAAACTCATGCTCAAGTACTGGACATGCTATTAAGTCTGTCTCCATTGGGCATCTGAATTATTCTGGCCTTCAGTTTCCATATTGGTAAGATGTCTATCATAATGATTTTATATAAAACAGTGTTAGGAATCTGATATTGACATCCAGTTTCTAAAGCCTTTCCTAAATTGTTAGGCAAACAAATGTTTAGTATTCAATTTACACAATGATATTCACTACCACTTATTAAACTGTTGCTTGTGTCGCCCCCCCCCCTTGTATTATGTCACATAATTGTGTAACTTTGTGGTGCAATCAATACTATTGATAAACAGTCAGTGCATCTTGGCTAGTCAAGATGTTGTCCGTCAAGAGTGTTTAGCTTGATAGAATTCAGCCAAGTGTAGTGAGAACATTGCACACTGTGTAGCATTGGTCACATAACTCAATAATACACAATCATAGCGATGCACAGGTGACAATAGTCTAACCAGTAGCTGCTTTTTGTTTGTTTGTTTAAGATGATTTCCTTCGATGCTCTGCATACAGCTTCAGGAAAATATAGAATGCCAGTCTAAAGTAAAACCCTTTCCAATGCATTTTTAAAAATTGTGTTAAGAAGAAATAACATGAGTTCTACCCTCTTAACAAGTTTTTAAGTGTACCATACAACATTGTTAGGTGCAAGCACAATGTTGTACCTCGGACCTCTAGAACCTTTTTTTCTTGCTTATCTGAAATTGTATACCCATTGAACAATCATTCCCCATCTTCTCCCCCTACCTCCCGGTAACCATCATTCTACTTTATGTTTCCATGAGTTTGACTGTTTTACATATGTCATGTAAGTGGACTCATGCAATACATTTTCTTGATCATTCATCCATTGATGGACATTTAGATTATTTCTATATCTTTGCTATTAAGAATAATTCTCCAATGATCATGGGAGTGAAGATACATCTCTTTTAGATCCCAATTTTAATTATTTTGAATGATTACCCAGAATAATTAACCAGAATGGAACTGCTGGATCATATGGTAGTGTTTTGTTGTTGTTGTTGTTGTTGTTACTGTTGTTGTTTTTTGTTTGTTTTGTTTTGTTTTTGTTTTGAGATGAAGTTTCGCTCTTGTTGCCCAGGCTGGAGTGCAATGGCGCGATCTCGGCTCACTGCAACCTCCGCCTCCCGAGTTCAAGTGATTCTCCTGCCTCAGCCTCCTGAGTAACTGGGATTACAGGCATGCACCGCCATGCCCAGGTAATTTTGTATTTTTAGTAGAGACAGGGTTTCACCATGTTGGTCAGGATGGTCTCGAACTCCTGACCTCCGGTGATCCGCCCGCCTCAGCTTTCCAAAGTACTGGGATTATAGGCATGAGCCACCACACCCAGCCCGTAGTGATATTTTTAATCTTTTGAGGAACTTCCATACTGTTTTCCATAGTGGCTGCACTATTTTATGTGCCCACCAAGAGTATACAAGCGTCCAATTTCTCCACAATCTCACTAACACTTTTTTTTTTTTTTATGATGGCCATCCTAACAGGTGTGAAGTGATAGCTCATTGTAGTTTTGACTCCTACTTGCCTAATGACTAGGGATGTTGAGCACCTTTTAATAGACTTGTCTGCTATTTCTGTCTTACATAGATAAATGTCTGTTTAGGTCGTTTACTCATTTTCTTAATCTGCTTATTTTTTGTTGTTGTTATTTAGTTATAGCAGTTCCCTACATATTAGTTCCCTATATATAGTTTCTATATATTTTGACTTGTAACCCCTTATGAAATACATGGTTTACAAAAATTTTCTGTCTCTGATTGTGTAGGTTACCCTTCTGTTCTGTTGATTGCTCCCTTTGTTGTACAGAAGCATTTTTAGTGCGATGGAGTACCATTTGTCTATTTTTGCTTTTGTTGCTTGTACTTTTAGGGTCGTATCCAAGAAATCATTGCCATGATCAATTTGAAGATTTTCTCCTCTGTTTCCTTCCAGGAGTTTTACAATTTCAGATTGTATATTCAAGTCTGTAATCTATTTTGAGTTGATTTTGTATCTCCTCTGCATTTTTAAAGTCACTATTTTGTTTTAAACTTTATAATCAATCTTATATGAATATGCAACAAATCTATACACATCATCCTAATTAATTATCTCTCTTGACTTTTAAAATATAATTAAAAAGTTGTTTCTAGAACTATAAATAATCTTGACTGTTTATAAAGCAGTTTCATCAGTATTTTGAATTGCCTCTTTGAAATCATATGATTACATATAAATAAGTGATATGGGCCAATATTTTTGAATGACTTAAGATATTTTCACAAAAACAGGGAAAATACCAAGACATTTGCCTAAAGCTTAGTAAGAATTCCAAACCTATAGTTTCCACGTCTTGTAATTTCTAGAACAAATTAAATACATACAAATTAAATAAATTAAATATAATAAAACATAGTCATAATAAGACAAATCATTAACTAACATTTAATGAAAAGTGATTTAATTTCTTACTTTTGTATGATTGTTCATGTGAACATATTAAGAATCAGAGGAAAGTAAAATCCCCTTTTGAGTCCTAGAAATAAGGTCACTACACTGATGGTCTATTTCCTGCAACTCTTGTCTTAGTTCGTTAGACTCTATTACTGACATGGCCAAGGCCAGCATTCAGCCCCCACATGGCGTGTGGCTCTTCTCCAGCATGCATTCAGGTCTGCCTGTTGGCTTGGAAACATTTCTAATCCTGCCCTCATTTCTGGAACAAATGAGGCACTCAGGATTCTTCATTACTTCAGGTACCTAGGTGGATTTCCCTTTTGGTCGCAAACACAACTTGACATCTTATTTTTTCCTACTTAACGTCTCCGGCATCTATCTCTTCCTTTCAGTTCCCACTGCCCCCAAATCATCATCTCACATTAGGATACACTTCATAACCAACTGGGCTCCATTCCTGGTGTCGCTACCTTTTAATGTCACTAGAAAATTCTTCCTAAAAACCTCATTTTAAGAGCCATCGGTCGCTAATCCTGTCAGAGCCCTCCACTTGATTTTCAAGGCTGTAATCTAACCATGTCTTGACCATCCAATCTGATCTCCCATTCCTTGCCAGTGTGAACTCTGCAGATCAGCCCACCTCCTCATAGCTCAGAACATGGCATGTCATGCTCAGCTCAATGACTCTGCTCCTTTCCCCACATAAGGAATTGTCTCCCTTCTCCACCACCTATGTCCGACTCCCCTCCTTTAAGTGTCCACACTGATTTATCCACTGTTGTACCTCTGATTGGAACCGAGCCTGGAACATGGTAGAGACTCAATGACTAGCCCTTCGGAGTCTGAGTGAACCCAGAGGCCACTTTGCCTGTGATGTTTATCTGAATATTCAGGTCACAGTGGCTTCTCTTTTCTCTAAAATCTTTCCATGCATATGGTCTGAATTGCACTTTTATATATCCTTTTATGTTCCTGAGTAGATCGGTCAACCAGTATTATTTCATATAGGATTTTATGCTATCATATTGTTTAATAACTACTGTGTTTAACAATAACTCGCTGGTCTATGCTTGCTTCCTTTTACATTTGAGAAACTGTCTCATGGCTTATGATTTGTACTGCAAAGTGATTTCTCCACAGGGAGGAGGCATAGCATGGTAGGTCAGCACATCCACATTAGATTCAGGTCAATGTGAGTGTGATGGATAATTTTATGTGTCAATCTAAGCTAAAATATGGCCAGGTAGCTGGTAAAACATTTCTGAGTGTGTCTGTGAGGATGTTTCCAGATGAGAGTAGCATTTTAAAAAATAGCCTGAGTAAAGAAGCTTGCTCTCATCAATGCACGTGCACCATCCAATCCATTGAGTGCCTAAATAGAACAAAAAGGCAGAGGTAGGGAAAATTTCTCTCCCTGGTACATTCATCTTCGCCTGCTGTAAATCATCAGCACTCCTGGTTCTTGTACCTTCAGACTTAAACTAAATTTCATATGTATGTGAATTTCATATATATATTTCTATTGATTCTGTTTCTCTGGAGACCCCTGACAAATACACTAAGTTTGAATTCTGTCTGAACCAAAAACTGGTTCTATGACTAACTTTTCTTTTTTCTTTCCTTTTCTTTTCTTCTTTTTTTTTTTTCTTTTGAGACAAGGTCTTACTCTGTCACCCAGCCTGGAGTTCAGTGGCGTGATCATGGCTTACTGCAATCTCTGCCTCCCGGGTTCAAGGGACCTTCCTACTTCAGCCTCCCAAGTGGCTGGGACCACAGGCATGCGCCACCACATCCAGCTAATTTTTTTTTTTTTTTTGTATTTTTGGTGGAGACAAGGTTTTTCCATGTTGGCCAGGATGGTCTTGAACTCTTGGCCTCAAGTGATTCACCTGCCTCAGCCTCCCAAAGTGCTGGGAATACAGGCGCGAGTCACTGCATCTGTCCTGTGACTGACTTTTTCAAGTCAGATCTTTATTTATGATATGAAAAAATCTATCTCCTATGGTTCACATAAAGATTAAATAAAATTATATTTACAAAAATATAGAATGTTATTTGTTATATTGCAAACATTTGAATAAGACAATGGTTACTGTTTTTGTTATTGTTAGTATTTCATTGAACTCCAGCATGGAATCACTGACTTTACTACAAATTAGTGACAACAAACTAGTAACAATGTGAGTTGTAATAATTCTTATGTGTTTTGAGACATGTCTCAATCATGTGAGAATAAAATTAGGGCATAGCAATTTCAAAATAATTTGAAATTCTAGCTCTATTGCCTTTAATGAATGTGTTTGCTCTTTTCCTGTTTTAGTTCCATTGTCCATCAAATGAAAATCAGAATACTTACATCATAGGAATCTGAGTAGTTTTGTTTGATATTGAGAACATTTTGACAATACAAAGCACTGTAACTGAGTATTAAATATTTTAATGAATTTTACCTTGTCTATTAGTCCATTCTCGTGTTGCTATAAAGAACAGCTGAGACTGGATAATTTATAAAGAAAAGAGGTTTAATTGGCTCACACTTCTGCTGGCTGTATAGGCATGGCTGGGAAGGCCTCAGAAAACTTTCAATCATGGCGGAAGGTAAAAAGGAAGCAAGCACATTTACATAGCCAGAGAAGGAAGAAGAGAGTGAAGGAGGAGGGCTGTAGACTTTTAAACAACCACTTCTTGTGAGAACTAGCTATCATGAGAACAGCAGTGGGGACATCTGCCCCCATGATCCAGTCACCCCCTACCAGGCCTCTTCTCCAACACTGGTGGTTACAATTCAACATGAGATTTGGATGGGGCCACAAATCCAAACCATATCAACTTGTATAAAGAGATAGCAGTAGCCACCAGTGTAGTCTGTTTAATACCTGAGACTTATGGCCTTCTAACTCAGGTTGTCCTGAGCTTTGGAATCAGACTGACCCACGTTTGAATCTAGGCTCTGCACCATAACTGGGGCAACTTACCTACTATGTTCTCTGTCAGTTTCCTCATCTGTAAAATTTGGGTAATAAACTGTATCCTGCAGGTTTGTTCTAAGGCTTAAGTGAGAACACGGCTGTACATATTAATGCTCAATAAATAACAATGATCTACAATCCTACATTTGTAAACAAGTTAACATGTTGAGTCAACAATGACTTATTAATCACCCGGACATGTTCATGGGTTAAATCCAGGTTGAGGCACAGTGAGAGGATTTGAAAGTCATTCAACAAATATGTATTGAAGAGTATGCATCTACCACCTGTCAGGTATTCTTCTAGGCATCCTGGTAGAGTGAACAAAACACAACCCCCTTCCTCATAGAGCTTTCATTCCAATTGATGGAATAATAGGTAAGAAATGCAAAAAAAGAACAACACATCAAAAAGATTATACATCATGAACAAGTGAGATTTATCCCTGACATTCAAGTCCAGTCTAATGTATGCAAATTAATCAATGTAGTACATGACATTAACACAATGCAAGATAAAAACCTCATGATTATCTCAATTGATGTGGAAAATGCATTTGACAAAGTTCAATGTATTTGCTTGATAAAGACTCTTAAGAGGTTAGGTATAAAAGGAAAGTTCCTCAGCATAATAAAGCCATTTATGAAAACCCCACAGCTGACAGTATCACCAGTGGGGAAAAACTGAAAACATTTCCACTAAGATCTGCTACAAAGCAAGGATGCCTGCTTTTGCCACTTCCATTCAACATTGTACTGGAAGTGCTTGCCAGGGCAATCAGATAAGGAAAAGAAACCAAAGGCACTGAAATCTGATAGGGAGAAGTAAAATGATCTCTATTCGAAGATACATGATCCCATATGTAAAAAAGCCCAAAGATTCCACAGACACCACCTTTAGAACTAATAAATAATTCAGTATGGAGGTTTCTAAGGAAATTAAAAGAGAGCTACCATAGGGCTATGCTGAGTGAAATAAGCCAGACAAGGAAAGACAAATATTGCTTTATATCATTTATTAATAGATGTGGAATATAAAAACTAAATTTCAAATATACAGAGATAGAGAACAAAACAGTGTTACCAGGGGCTAAGGAGGGGTGGTGGGGAAGAAATGGGGAGATGTAGGTCAGAGGATACAAAGTAGCGGATATGTAGGATGAACAAAGCCAGAGACTTAATGTACAACTTCAGGACTGTAGGTAATGAAATTGTATGGCATAGGAGAGTCATGCTAAGTGAGTAGATTTTAGCTGCTGTTGCCACAAAAACAATCAAAATGGTTGACTGTGAGATGATGGATATCTTCATTTGTTTCACCTTAGTAACCTTTTTAGTATCTCTATATATCCCATAATATCATGTTGTATACCTTAATTATACACAATAAATTCATTAAATAAATAAATAAACCTTTCCAGGAAATAAGAAAAAGAAAGGAATGCATACATTGATGTTACAATTTACTTCTATAGTTAAGTCATAAAAATTTGAAACTTAAAAAAAAAAAAAAACAAGGAACAGGAAATTTAACTAAAGGCCTAAAACAACAGTTGCCAAGATGTTCTAAGAAAGGAAATGGTTAATTGTCAAGTGAATGTTATAAACAAATGTCCAAGAAGTTTTAAGTCATGTAAATCATTTTATACATGCTATGTAAATAACAAACATGTTTATGAAAGTTTTTCCCAAACTCACTTTACTCTCAATTCAGTCTGTGTGCTGAGTGAGCAAGGGCTGTGCTATGTCATTTGTGCCCCCAAATGGGTGGTTCCCTAGGGTACCATGTCAGCAATGAGTATTTTGGGGATATCTAATAAACAGAATTTGCACTGTTTTATTCTGTTAGCTAATAAAAACATTCAATTTCCAAAGCTCCTAGAAGAGCAGCTTTTAGACTTTGAGATCAAGCTGAAGGTCTTTAAGGTAAAACAAAAAATTTGGCTGTTGCGCTTACTTTTATATAGAGGACTTTGATCAGATCTCATAATAAAGAGGCTGTATAGAGTCCAAGACTGCTTTGTCAACGTCAGCAGACAGGATTTCTTCTTGTCACCAAGTGAAAGCTTATGATCAAGAAAGGGGGTCTTTTTTTTTTTTTCCCCGTAGGTGTCTTTGTGAAGCTTCCTATCTTTGCTTTTCAACTAAGATGAAACAGCATTTAAAAGAAAATGCCATGTGAGATGAGATCAGGAGAATGGATTCTTTCTTTCATCTGAATAGAGAGCTGCTGTTCGAGGTAACTTTCAGCTTTTATTTTGTTTGGACACAATTGTCAAAATGTTTAACTCTTCCTTTCCAGAATTTGTCATTTGTGAAAAAAGATTGGTGACTGGCAAATAATTCTACTGATGTTAATGAACACAGATCTGATGAAGCAAACTCAGTATTATTTTGAGATAATACAATCGTGCAGAAGTAACCAACTAGACTTTTTACCTCCTTTTTACAGTGGGGAGCAGACACAAACTACATCAATTTGGTCTATTGAGCCAGAAATATGAAATATGACAAATAGCTGTGTTTTTTAAGCTTGAAACCAAATAAATTACAAACTCCCTGAAGAATTATACACTTGAGCTCTTTTAGGTAACCTCTGGATCCTCAGAACCTATTTTATGGCTTTGGAAGCTGTTAAAACAAGTCATCAAGTGTTTTTGGGTCAAGGCATATAGTTCAAAGAAAACAAAAACTATCTGGCTTGCTTGTGTAACAGTGGGAAACATAAGGGAAAAGTGTGTTGGGCTGGGCGCAGTGGCTCATGCCTGTAATCCCAGCACTTTGGGAGGCAGAGGTAGATGGATCACCTGAGGTCAGGAGTTCGAGACCAGCCTGGCCAACATGGTGAAACCCCATTTCTACTAAAAATACACAAAAATGAGCCGGGCATGGTGGCAGGCATCTGTAATCCCACCTACTCGGGAGGCTAAGGCAGGAGAATCGCTTGAACCCGGGAGGTGGAAGTTGCAGTGAGCCAATATTGTGCCACTGTACTCCAGCATGGGTGACAAGAGCAAAACTCCATCTCAAAAAAAAAAAAAGAGAAAAAAGAAAAAAAAATGTGTTGGGAAAACCATCTGTGAGTGACAGACTATAGGTGACACTTGCAGTAAGGTAGAAAAGTAGGTATCTTGAAAATAGTGTGATGTGGCAAATTTAATAATGTCCTGCTGCCTTTTGAATACATGAATGCAAGAAACAGGGATAGTTGGTGAATGATTCACAGAGTCTCTATCACAAAGGACAGGAGTGCAAATGTGTTTCCTCCTGAGCTTAGGTGAGTTCAGAGAAAAATGAAGGTGACTCGCTGGGTGAAGTATCAGGGAAGGAAGAAAATCAGGAACGTTCTATCAGAAAAAGAACATCAGGGACGTTCTGTCAGAGAAGGAAGGTCTCAAATGCAACTCACATTTTCAGATATCATTGAGGGGGGAAGAAAATTCCAAAATTTAGGGCTTTAATGGCAGAGAGCATTTTGAGCTAAAGTATATTAGCTAGTAGGTAATAGAAGGGAATTAAATGGGCAGTGTTCATCTTGGAGAAAGAGTAGGTGATGTGGTTTCGTGGCTGTGTCTGGAAAAGCAAACTTTCATGACATGGGCTACCTGAGAAAGTAGCCTTAGGTGGTGGTGACAGAAGTGTTCACTTGTACCCTTGGCCTTTTCATTTTTGACACCAGCTGTTTTCACTTTCACGCACGATTGAGTCTTTGCTGTCACACAGTTGCCGAATGTTTTCTTACTGCTCTTTCCTTTCCATTTGTCTAACATTCCAAATGCTTTATCTAATGCAAGATTTCTCAGCCTTGGCCCTATTGACATTTTGGGCCAGAAAAGTCTTTATTATGTAAGCCTGTTTTGCAAATTGTAGGATGTTTAGCAGCATCTCTGACCTCCATCTTACAATTCACCAGTAACTTTCCCCACCCAGAGGTAACTACCGAAAATTTCTCCAGACCTTGCCAAATATCGTCTGGGGGGCAAAATTGCCCTGGGTGAGAATCACCGGTCTACTTTCTACTTATTATGTAATCTGAAAAAGTTTATGCTAAAATTACATGTAATTCCCCAGAAATAATTTGCACGTGGTTGCAAATTGGAAGAAAATCTAATCTGCCCATTAATTAGCGATTGGTGAATTGTCCTGAAATAGCAACTGGTGTCACATATCAAAACTTGTAATGTTTTCTTTGTTTCAGTTTTTGAAGGATGCTTTTGTATCTTTTTGGAAATCAAAGTCTTTTTTTAATCTATCTACCTGCCGAGTTTATTGCCTTGTAAACATGTTTCTTTTGAGTTAAAATATTCTGAACCTGTAAGGCCATGTCAATCAAGCCGGATCAATAGTAGTGCACAAAAAAATGAATCAAAAAAGAGTGTAAGTTCAAAACATATTATCTATATGGGAGAAAGTCTCCTCATAAATGCCAACAATTATTGGCTTGAATTCAAAAGTGGAATAAATTTTGTCCTTGAGTACAAGAGTGATAGCAAATAACCAATTTTAATATTTTATAGAGAGAGTTATAGCCATTTCCTGAACTACCTCTGATATTATTTCTGGAACTTTTTTTAAATTCTTAAGTGCTTAATGGCTCTGGAGGCAACTATGATAGAATGGCAAGTGCACTAGGCTAGGAGGCAGATGATCAGGTCTAAGTCTCCACCCTTCTAGAGAGGGAAGTCCCCAAATCCTTATCCAGAAAATGGGAAGCATAATAATCTCACAGAGGATTATTGTACAGTTGAGGCAGTGTAGACTGAATACTGAAATGCCAATCAGTGGAAAGGCACTATGAACATGATTTAATTTCTGTTTGTTAAAAATTATTAAACCTATTAAACAATCCTTAAAGGTTGCTTTAAGGATTTTCTGTGACACAGTTTTCCCAGGCAAGCTGCTTAACCAAACCTCGGGTCCGACTTTCCTAGGGGAATACCTGTGGCCGACACAATCTGAAACAAGAGCTTTACAAATCAAATCATATTTTGTAGACATTAGGGGATACCGATATGGCAAAGAATTGTATGGCTATTTGCTTTTTTGGCAATAAATATAATTGTTCTATTTTTTCTGTTTTATGAATTTCTTGTTAGTATTGAGAATTCACGAAGGCTATGTGTAATACAAATAATTCTAAATACTACATTTTGTTTACTTAAAATAAAAATCTAAACTTCCTTTAATTCAATATCACTCTCACTCCCATCTCACCACCCAGTCAAGTATTTTGATTGAACTCACATGCACATACACACACACACACACACACACACACACACAAACACACAGACATGCACACACAGTCATATAGACACACACACAGACATACAGACACACAGACACACACATACAGATACACACACACAGACACACACATGCTGACAACTCACAGTTGATAATTCACCTCATTACAGCTCAGGAAGAGATTGTATAAAGAAAAACTGAGTGATGTAAATACATAAAATTGTTATAATATAATAAGATTTGGTGATATTACAGCAAGGAGGAAAAATATAAGTAAGATATAATTTTGGTTATGGGACTTTAAAGCAACCTTTTTCATCCTCTAAAAAGTTTCCTGATGTTAGTTAATTGGCACAAGAGAATGGAAGAAGAGATTCTTCTAGAGGATACACACCTTGTGTTTCCTATAAGATTCAGCAAAATGGAGAACAAAATATTTTCCTCAGGAATTAACTATATACAAATGATAAGGGAAGGAAATGGCATCATTTGTAGTAGGAAAATAATTAATTGTTTAAATTTTATTTTATTTTAGATTCAGAGTGTCATGTGAATGTTCGTTTCATGGATGTATTGTGTACTGGTGAGATATGGGCTTATGGTATACGCATTTCCTAAATTGTGAATATTGTTCCCAATAGGTAATTTTCAAACCTTGCCCTCCTCCCTTTTGGAGTCCCCAGTGTCTATTATTTTCATTTTTATGTCCATGTGTATCCATTGCTTCAAGTTCCCACTTATAAGCGAGAACATGCAGTATTTCACTTTCTGTTTTTGAATCAGTTCACTTAGGATCATGGCTTCCAGCTCTACCCATGTTGCTGCAAAGGACATGATTACATTCTTTTTTATGGCTGTGTAGTATTCCTCAGTGTATATATACACCACATTTCTTTTATCCAGTTAACCATTGATGGCTATTTAGGTTGGTTCTGTGACTCTTTTCTTGTGAATAGTGCTGTAGTGAACATACATGTACAGGTATCTTTTTTTTTTGAGATGGAGTCTCTCTCTGTCTTCATGCTGGAGTGCAGGGACACCATCTTGGCTCAGTGCAACCTTTGACTCCCTGGTTCAAGCAATTCTCCTGTCTCAGCCTCCGGAGCAGCCGGGATTACAGGCACGCAGCACCATGCCCAGCTAATTTTTGTATTTTTAGTAGAGACAGGGTTTAACCATGTTGGCCAGGATGGTCTCAATATCCTGACCACGTGATCCACCCTCCTTGGTCTCCCAATGGCATCTTTTTAATGTAATGATTTATTTTCCTTTCCGTAGACACCCAGTAGTGGGAGTGCTGGGTGGAATGGTAGTTCTATTTTTATTTCCTTGAGAAATCTCCATACTATTTTCAATAGAGGTTGAACTAATTTACATTCCTGAAAACAGTGTATAAGGATTTTCTTTTCTCTGCATCCAGGCCAACAATAACAGCCATTCTGACTGGTATAAGATGGTTCATTTTTTTTTCTGGTGTTATGTGATAAACAGGTTATTTTACAACACAGTTTAGATTAGCTTATCAATGATAGAGCCGACTTTGTGATAGCCATTAATACACACAGTCAAGAACTTAAATACCAATTTAAACCAAGAACCCTAAATGGGTATATTAAAGTTTTGTAAAAAGCATTGCGCAGTTTTGACATAAGAATTGTTCAAGTGGTAATACAGCTAAAACACTCATGTTACTTTAAACATAATAACTTAATCTTTTAGGAAGTATACTTTCAAATGCTGCATAGAACACATCAGGATTTTACCTCTTTTTAAAAGTCTGATCTAATTGGACAGGAGCACAGAGAGTTTATCTTTTTCTGAAGTATGTTGCTGAAAGTAGGAGGAGGGGAAGGAAAAGGAGAAGGAGCTAGGAGATGTTTTCTCTAGAATGTGGTCCCTTTATTACCGTATGTTGTAGTTGAACTTTCCAGGGTAAACCTAGTGTTACAGATGAACTCACTAATAGATGTCAAATGCCTTCTTGGTATAATATATTATTTCCTATCTCCATAGTATTGAGGATGAAATACTACAGATTGAAATGCTCTGGAATGCAGTTTTAAAACTTTCATCTGAACATCGTTACATCTATGCCCAGGAATTTCCAAATTCTAAACCAAATGATACAGCTAGAGTTTGAAGACAATTTGAGAGCTGGTGAAGATGACAGTTACTTCTTTCTGTTTCTTGCTCTTTGTATAATGGAAATGAATGTTACTTTTAATGAGTCAGTTGCAAGAAATTAAGATATCTGCTAGACTGGTTCTTTCTTTCTTTCTCCCTCTCTCCATCCCTCTCTTCTTCTCTTCCCCTTTCCCTCCCTCCCTCTCTTTTTCTTTGCTTTCTTCCTTTCTTCCTTCTTTCCTCCCTCCATTTCTCCCTCCTTCTCTTCCTCTCTTTCTCCTCTTTGCCTCTACTTCTCTTCCTTCCTTCCATCTGTCTGTCCTTCCTTGCTTTTGTTCATTGCAAGGAACTGACACACAAGGAATACATACAGTGGAGGTCCTACCATGACCAGACACTGTACTAGGCAAGTGAGCTAGAGAAGGGGACAAGATAAATAAGACCCTGCCCAAATGAAGAATCCAGTCAGGCAAATAAGCTATGGAAAGATATGAGGGAAATGTTGGGGTAATAAAAGATCTCATAGGAGAAATATGTAGTCCAGGCTCCCATGAGCTCTCTCTCTCTCTTCCAACCTTCAGCCCCCTTCTTGCTCTTTGGGGATTTCTAGGGAGATGTATGCCTTATATGCAAAATGAAGTACCAGAAGATAAAAAAGTCAAATAGAAATTAAGATTGTATAGATTATTCTGCAGAGTTGATCATTCACTTTCGTGTGAAAAATTGGTTATATATGTTCTTACTTTTCTCACTGTAATACTTTTACAAGAAACTTCTCAGCACTTCGCTTTCTTTGTCTGCAAAAATGACACAGAGATTTTTTAAAAGGTGGGGTTTCCCACCTTTTCAAGCAAATGGTGCATTTCCCAGCTGGCTCTTGTTACAGTGGATGCAAATGCAAACATATTCTTGATTGAGATCTGTGAAATCTCCAGAAAGTTCTTAATATTGATTTACATCCTCCCTTGCAGAAATAATTAATATTGATTACTGAGAGGCACTTAGCTTGATAATAATTGCACCCAGTTCACAACAAAAGCAAGTCAATTGTGGTGCTTAGGAATTTTTAATAGTGATTTTTGTCTTTTATTATTTTATTTTTCATGTCTAAATGAGAATTGACCTTGCATAAAATCTGTTTAGCAAATTCAAATTAGACAAAGCAAAAATATTTATATGGGTGGGTAGGCTTGAAAGTAGCTGAAACGTCTAAAAATAATGTGGGAATAATTGGCATAATAGGGCAAATCATCAATTATGACGCATGCTTCAAAACTGATTTGAACGTGGTACCTCAGTATGTGACTTAAGTGATACAGTAAATAATGTTAAATAAAGAAATACCATGACTTATGCAAATCTAATATGTGGATATTTGAATTAATCAAGGAAATGTAAGAATCCTCTTAATTTAAAGAAAAAATAATTTATCCTGTACCACCCACAGTTAACCTAAATTGTCATGTATTCCACTTAAGAAAAACTTCTTCATACCTGTCAAACATATTATAAAATGGCAAACAAGAATTAAATAACTTTTGGATTATTCTGCACAGTTGATCATTTCTGGGTAAGAAAAAAAATTGGCAAAACTTTATTTGTGAAGCAACCTAAATGCCTAGTGATAGAATATGATTAAAGTTTTAAAAATTGGCCAGGTGCGGTGGCTCACGCCTGTAATCCCAGCACTTTGGGAAGCCGAGGTGGGCGGATCACGAGGTCAGGAGATCAACACCATCCCGGCTAACACGGCGAAACCCCATCTCTACTAAAAAAATACAAAAAAAATCAGCCGGGCGTGGTGGAGGATGCCCGTAGTCCCAGCTGCTCGGGAGGCTGGGGCAGGAGAATGGCGTGAACCCGGGAGGCGGAGCTTGCAGTGAGGCGAGATCGCGCCACCGCACTCCAGCCCGGGCGACAGAGCGAGACTCCGTCTCAAAAAAAAAAAAAAAAAAGTTTTAAAAATG